>NC_000005.10:178920682-179071128 GCF_000001405.40 Homo sapiens
TTAGTTCTTTTTATATGCTCATTTTCTTTGCTGAGATTTTATTTCCATTTCTTTAGAGTGTGTTCACTCTGACTTGTTGGAACAAGTAAGGCAGATGCTTTAAAGTCCTTGTAAGATAATTGTATCATCTCACTTGATGTCTGTTGGTTATCTTTTCCCATGTAAGTTGAAATGTTCCTGGGTCTTTATATTCTCAGTGACTTCAAAAGGTATCATGGGCATTTAGAATATTATGTTATAAAACTCTATGTCTTCTTGAAATCCAACAGAAAATGTTGATATTTCTGTGTTAGCAGGCAGTCAACCTGGTTGAGCTCAGACTACAAAGTCCAACCAGCTTTCTGTGGGTTGTGGTTTCTGTGTCAGTTTGGTTGTCAGAGACTTCACATTGTTGCTTGAATCTTGCTCACATGTGTGTCACTCTGTGGCCAGTATGGAATTTAAGCAGCGGTCCCTCTTATTCTCAAAGTCCACGTGTGCTGCTTAGGGGGTCAGATTCATGCATATGTATCTCGCAGGTGAGCCCAGGAGTTCTTAAATAACTTCCAAGGTCATGTTCCCGAATTCTCCCCTGTCTATGTCCGCAGTAGTTTCAGCTTCCCTGTGGCTGTCCTTTTGACTCTTCTGGCTACAAGGCAGGGGCCTGTAGTTGCCCCGCTCTGCTGTGACTTCCAGTGACCATCCCTATGTAGAGCCAAGCAGCAGGAGGACAAAGAAAAGATGATGAAGTGGGGCTTCTTGCTACCCTTCTTGGGACCACAGATCCCTTGCTTGGGGAAGAAGGACCCTCTCCTCATGTTTTTGAGCTCCTGTCAGCTTGCAGTGGCACTGCTGTTGCAGCAGCCACCAGAGGATTGCTTAAGTGCTGGGGTGCAATAGAACAGAGAAAGGGGAAAAAATAGGCAATTCCCCCTGCTCTCTCTAAGCATTAGAAGTCCTTTTCCTGCTCCATGAACCGGCCCTAGAGCTTTTCCTGGAGAACCTCCTCTGCCTTCTCCTGCCTCAGTGCCTGTTTTCAGATGGCTGTATAAGTTTAGTACAGAAGACAGCTGAGGAAAAAAAGGAAGCTCACCACTGGTTCAGTGGTACTTTGGATTTTGGTTCTCTTCCCCAATTCACCTGCTACTGTTTACTTCTCAGGGCCTTCAAATAATTGCTTCATGCTTTCTGTTCGGGTTTATCAGTGGAAGAGACATGGTGGAATAGGCCTACTCCACCTTATCAGGAAGAGGATCCTCTACTTTGGTTTTAATTTGATCTTTGTCTAACTTCTTAAGGTGGAAACATAGGTCACAGATTATGGGCCATTCTTATTTACTGTAAAAACATTTAAAGCTCCTTCCGCAGGCAGGAGAGTCAGCTAGCCACCCAAGAAAACATCATGAAAGATACCGATATCAAGAGACTACTGTATACCCATCTTTTATGCATATTTTCAATTATCCTAAGTGTCTTCATTCCATCACTCTTCTTGGAGAACTCCTCAATATTGGAAACACACTTGACATGGTTGTGCGTCTGTTCTGGTTTTGTAACTGCTGTCAGTCTAGTACTATATTTAGTAGTGAAACCAAATACATCCTCTAAAATAAGTTCATTATCATACAAGGTAACCAGATTTTTGAAATGCTGTATCTACTTTCTTATGTCTTGTTTCTCCTTTCATGTAATTTTTGTTCTATATGGAGCACCACTAATAGAGTTGGCATTGGAAACATTTTTATTTGCAGTTATTTTGTCTACTTTTACTATTGTGCCTTACTTATGTTTGTTAGGACCAAACCTCAAAGCATGGCTAAGAGTTTTCAGTAGAAATGGAGTTACATCCATATGGGAGAATAGTCTCCAGATCACTGCAATGTCTAGTTTTGTAGGAGCATGGCTTGGAGCACGTCCTATTCCTTGACAGGGCAAGAGCATGGCAGGTATGGCCCATCTCCTGTACGCTTGGAGCGACCTTTGTCCACGTGGCTGGCCTTGTTATTTCACCACTCTGGATATACTGGAATAGAAAGCAACTTACATACAAGAACAATTAACTGGAGCAAAGGGAGATATTTCTTTGTGCAGATTCTGTAAGGGCTGTGCAGAAATGTGTGTGGTCAAAGCCAAGCAGTTCCATTTACAGCACTGTTTTTTATGTAGTTACAACATGATGTGATTGTAGCTTTTTAAACTATGAAACCCCTGAGAGATTGTACCTTCTAGTTGAAATAAAGTATTTATAATAGAAAAAAAAATATTGAAAGCTATATAATTTCCTCTAAGCATTGCTTTGGTTGTAACACATAAAATATTATCTCATTCCATTGTGATTTCCTCTTTGACCTCTCAGAATTTACAAATTCACTGCTTAATTTTCAAACATGAGGATTTCCCAGATAGTTGAAATGTAATTCTTTAGGTGTCTTTTTTTAATTGTAATGTTTTGTGTTTGTGTGTATATGTGTACAATATACGTAACATAAAATTTGCCATTTTAGCCATTTTTAGTGTATCATTTGGAGGCATTTAAATACATTCACATTGTTGTGGAACCAGCACCGCCATCCGTCTCCAGAACTTTTTCATCTTTCCTAATGAAAACTCTATATCCTTTAAGCAATAGCATCCCATTCCCCGCTTCCGCCAGCCCCTGGTAACCTCCGCTTTCTGCCTCTATGAATTTGACTACTCTAGATACCTCATATGAGTTGAATCATGCAATATTTGTCTTTTCGTGACTGGCTTATTTCACTTAGCATAATATCTTCGAGGTTCATCCTTGAAGTGGATTCAGCATGTCACTGCCAGTCTTTTTATACCCAAACTAACTTCCCCATTCATGTTTATTTTTTATTCAAATTGAATATTTAAATAATAGCAGAAATGGTTTAGGAGTACTGTTATTACTGAATCTTCATATTTAAGACTGTGTTTTGCCTTTCTCTGCACATGTGTGGAGTGCTGACCATGTGGAGTTCTTGAGTCACATCAGTTCTTGCAGGCATGGCCCCATTGTCTTTCGGCATCCTGTGTTCCTGAGAAAATCTCTTCTGCCAGTTTTTTAAAAATTTGTAGGTAATCTTTTTTTTTTTTTCTTTCGTAAGCATCAACTCCTCAGAACTAACTTTTAAGTCTAAATTCCATGAAGGTATACTGAATCCTACTATTAAGTTTTCTGTAGTACAAAAATATGTTTGAACTTAAAATGATTAATATTTTCCAGAATAGCAAATACTTTGTTCTTTTTGTAATTTGATTTTTGAAATACATACACAGAAGAATGTGTAAAATCTGACTGTTCAACAAAAACCTACATACTCTTCTAAGCCCTTTATTAACTAACTTTTGTTCTTATATCAGCACTATAAGATAGGTACCATTTAACAAATTTGGACAATAGAGCACAGAGAGGTTAAGAAACCTACGCAAGGTGTGGTGGCTCATGCCTGTAATCCCAGCACTTTTTGAGGCCGAGGCGGGCGGATCACGAGGTCAGGAGATCGAGACCATCTTGGCTAACACGGTGAAACCCCGTCTGTACTAAAACCACAAAAAATTAGCCGGGCATGGTGGCGGGCACCTATAGTCCCAGCTACTCGGGAGGCTGAGGCAGGAGAATGGCGTGAACCCAGGAGGTGGAGCTTGCAGTGAGCCGAGATCGCTCCACTGCACTCCAGCCTGCATGACAGAGAGAGACTCTGTCTCAAAAAAAAAAAAAAAAGAAACCTGCCCAAGGTCACACAGCTAATAGTGGTGGAGCTCCAGAGTTCATTTTGAGTTCATTAACTCAAAAGTCCGAAGTTTCATCTTAGTGTTATCGTAACCACTGTGCCCTTCTGCTTCTCTTTTTAGTTAATAATGATAAAGACAAATGAAGAAAAAAGAAAGCAGGCCAGGCACAGGGGCTCCCACCAGTAATCCCAGCACTTTGGGAGGCCAAGGTGGGTGGATCACCTGAGGTCAGGAGTTCAAGATCAGCCTGGCCAACATGGTGAAACCCCATCTCTACTAAAAAGACAAAATTAGCCAGGCATGGTGGTACATGCCTGTAGTCCCTGTAGTCCCAGCTACTTGGGAGACTGAGGCAGGAGAATCACCTGAACCCAGGAGGCGGAGGTAGCAGTAAGCCGAGATTGCGCCATTGCACTACACCCTGGGCGACAAGAGCAAAACTCCATCTCAAAATAATAATAATAATAATAAGGCAGATATCCAGTTACCAGAGCCCAGATCAAGAAACAGAACATTGCTAGTGCCATGGAAATGCTTTGTGTGCATCTCCTCATTCACATCCTCTTACCTCTCTCTACCCAAGATATAACCAGTATTCTGACTTCTGTGATACCTCCTTTCCCTCTCTTTATACTATTGCCATTTATCATTGAATCTCTAAACAATATATCTGGTTTTGGTCTGTTTTAAAACTTTAAATTGAATCTTTATATATATATATATATATACACACACACACACACACACACACATATATATACACATATATACATATACATATATATTATGTGCCTTTGCTTATTCATTCATATTGATATGTGTAGCTTTAGTTTATTAATGCTCACTGTTGTCAGTTACTCCATTGTATGAACACTTGACGATCTTGTTATCCATTTTTTGATGATGGGCATTTGTGATGTTTCCAGTTTTTGCTGTTGTACACAGTGCTGTGTGAAGAATCATGAATTCTCACACTGTTGCAAGGTGGAGTTACTAGTGGAGTTACTAAGTGCATGCACCTAGTGGTAGACTTGCTGTATCAGCCCATGTGCTTGCTCTAGGCTGTACTAAACTATTTTTCCAATGCTTGAATCAGATTGGATTTCCACCAGGAGTATGTGGAAGTTCCCACTATTGCATCTTTCCAAAATCTGAAGCTGTCAGTTTGAATTTTTACATTTTGTTACTTGGGCGGATGTGGTAATGGCATCTTGTTGCGGCTTTAATCGGCTTTCCCTTGGTTACTGTTGAGATTGGGCATCTTTGCTTACGTTTGCAGACCATTCAGGCTTCCTTTCCTTAAGTGCTTATTCAAGTCTTTTGCCCATTTTTCTAGTGGGCTTGGTGTTTCATAAGCATTATTTTCCAAGTCTCCATTCTAGTTTTTTGTGGGTCATGTGTTGCAAATATCTTCTCCCAGTAGGTAGTTTCTATTTTTTTAGCTTTTATTTTTATTTTTATATTTTGAGACAGGATCTTGCTCTGTCTCCCAGGCTGAAGTGCAGTAGCATGATCACGGCTCACTGCAGACTTGAACTCCCGGGCTCAGGCGATCCTCCCACCTCAGCCTCCGAGTAGCTGAGACCACATGTGTGCGCCACCATGATCTGGTAGTTTTTGAATTATTTGTAGAGATGGGCTCTCACTATGTTGCCCTAGGTGATTTAAAATTCCTGGTCTCAAGAAATCCTCCCACATCAACCTCCTAAAGTGCTGGGATTACAGGCGCGAGCCACTGCACTCAGCTTTTTATCTTTTTTTATGATGTCTTTTGATGACTAGAAGCACTTAATTTTCTCCCAACATTTTTCTTTCTTCTTTTGGTCTTTATACTTCTTTTTTCTTCTCATTCTCTGTTTTAATTATTTTTAAAATTTATTTCCTGAACTTCTTCATAGTTTCCAAACTTAATATTTTCTGTGTATAATTTATCTTTGGATAGAAGCAGTTCTGTCTGGACTTTGTATTTGTCTAATAGTGTAAATGGATTCTCCTTTGCTTGTTATGTTGTTTAATACATAGCACCTTAAATGTTCCCAAAGAACTTGAGTTGGCTGGCTGACCCCTGTACAGAGGTGAGGCAACAGGGAGCTGCCAATTCACATGTCACCTGCTGGTATTTTCTTTTTTTTTTTGAGATGGAGTCTCGCTGTGTCGCCCAGGCTGGAGTGCAGTGGCACGATCTCGACTCACTGCAAGCTCCGCCTCCCAGGTTCACGCCATTCTCCTGCCTCAGCCTCCTGAGTAGCTGGGACTACAGGTGTGTGCCACCATGCCCGGCTAATTTTTTTGTATTTTTTAGTAGAGACAGGGTTTCACCGTGTTAGCCAGGATGGTCTAGATCTCCTGACCTGGTGATCCGTCCACCTCGGCCTCCCAGAGTTCTGGGATTACAGGTGTCAGCCACCACGCCCGGCCACCTGCTGGTATTTTCATACTCAGTTTGACAGTTCCTCTGTTTGGGGTTACTTGGTTGTATGTGTTTTGGAAGTGGAGCCTGGTTGTCTTTCCACTTTTTCTCTCTTTTCACTTAAGCAGATCAGGTTGGAAGAAAGAGGCCTGGTTAATGCTTATTTCTTGCTTCACAGGAAAGCCTGTGCCCATAGGCCTTGGTTTGTTTGTTCAGTGTTGATCTCTCTCTGTTGACTTCGATCAGCAATCGGAAAGCTGATTCTCAGGTTGCAGTGCCAGTCCTCTACCCCTTATTTTGTCTGGGATAAGAAATAGGATCTAAGAAAATTCAAGTCTGAGTAGCTACAAGGTCCTTTTCCAGCCTCCTCTCAAACAGTTTAGCAGATCCCCTGGCCTGTCCCTACCACCAGTTCTCATCTTTAAGGAATGCGTATTTAGGAAATGGTAGTATCCCTTAGGACTGTCTTACCCCTGTGAATAAATTACAGCCTGCTTAAAGTTTAAGGGGAAGAAACCTCTAGATTGTGTCATCCTCCTTTAAGAGTTTAAGTTTCATGTATGTTCTGGTACTTTATGTTCCAGAGGAGTATATTCTCAAAGGGTAGTTTACATACTGTGTTAGTCTGTTCTCACATTGCTATAAAGAAACACCTGAGACTAGGTAATTTATTCATTTATTTATTTTTGGGGTTTTTTTTTTTTGAGACGGAGTTTCGCTCTTGTCGCCCAGGCTGGAGTGTGATGGCACAATCTCAGCTCACTGCAACCTCCACCTCCCGGGTTCAAGTGATTCTCCTGCCTCAGCCTCCTCAGTAGCTGGGATTACAGGTGCACACCATCATACCTGGCCAATGTGTGTGTGTGTGTGTGTGTGTGTGTGTGTGTGTGTGTGTGTGTGTGTTTTAGTAGAGATGGGGTTTTGCTATGTTGGCCAGGCTAGTCTCGAACTCCTGACCTCGGGTGATTCTGCCCACCTCAGCCTCCCAAAGCGCTGGGATTACAGCCGTGAGCCACCAAGCCTGGCTGAGTCTGGGTAATTTATAAGAAAAGTTTAATTGGCTTATGGTTCTACAGGCTGTACGGGAAGCATTAGTGCCAGCATCTGCTTGTAGGGAAGCCTCAGGAGGCTTACAGTCATAGTGGAGGGCAAAAGGGGAGCAGGCATATCAAATGATAAAACCAGGAGCAAGAGAGAGTGGCAGGGGGAGGTGCTACACACTTTTAAGTGGCCAGATCTCATGAGAACTCACTCATGATAGGGAGGACAGTACCAAGAGGGAGGGTGCTAAACCATTCATAAGAAACCACTCCCATGATCCAGTCACCTCCCATAAGGCCCAACCTCCAACACTGGGGATTACATTTCAATATGAGATTTGGGTGGGGACACACATCCAAATGAAATCATATCATTCTGCCCCTGGCCCCTCCCAATCTTATGTCTTTCTCACATTTCAAAATACAATCTTGCCTTTCCACTAATCCCTAAAGTCTTAACTCGTTCCAACATTAACTCAAAAGTCCACAGTCTCATCTTAGACAAGGCAAGTCCCTTCTACCTATGAGCCTATAAAATAAAAGACAAGTTAGTTACCTCCAAGATATACTGGGGGTATAGGCATTGGGTCAACACTCCTGTTCCAAAAGGGAGAACTCTCTGCCAAAAGAAAGGGGCTATAGGCCCCATGAAAGTCCAGAAACCATCAGGGCAGTCATTAAATCTTAAAGCTTCAAAATTATTTTCTTTGACTCTGTATCTCATATCCAGGGCACTCTGCTGCGAGGGGTGGAGTCCCTAGGCCTTGGGCAGATCTGCCCACATGGCTTTGCAGTGTTCAGTCCCTGCAGTGCTCTCATGGGTTGTAGTTGAATGTCTCTGGCTTTTCCACATGCAGGGTGCAAACTGCCAGTGCATCTTACATTCTGGAGTCTGGAGGGCAGTGGCCCTCTTCTCACAGGCAGTGCCCCAGTGGGGATTCTACATGGCGGCTCCAATGCCACATTTCTCCTCTGCACTGCCCTAGTATAGGTTCTCTGTGTGGCCTCTGCCCCTGCAGCAGGCTTCTACCTGGACACCTAGGCTTTTCTATACATCCTCTGAAATCTAGATAGAGTTTCCCAAGCCTTAACTGTTCAACTGTGTATACCCACAGGCTTTATATACCATATCAAAGCTGCCAAGGCTTACAGCTTGCACCCTCTGAAGCAGCAGCCTGAGCTGTAACCTGGCCCCTTTCAGCCGTGGGTGGATCTGGAGTAGCTGGGATGCAGGGAGCAGTGTCCCAAGGCTGTGCAGGGCACCGGGCCCTGGGCCTGGCCCAGGAAACCATTCAGTCATCCTAGGCCTCTGGTGGAAGGGGCTGCTGTGAAGGTCTCTGAAATGCCTTTGAGGCCTTTTCCCCATTGTCTTGGCTTACTAGTACTTGGGTCCTTTTTACTCATGCAAATTTCTGCAGCCTGCTTGAATTCCTTCCCTGAAAATGGGCTTTTCTTTTCTACCACATGGCCAGGCTGCAAATGTTCCACTTACTCCCTTTTAAATACCAGTTCCAGTTTTAAGTCATTTCTTTGTTCTCACATCTGAGCATAGATTGTTAGCAGACAACCCACCTCTTGTGTGCTTTGCTGCTTAGAAATTTCGTCCACCAGATGCCCTCAATCACCATTCTCTCAAGTTCAAAGTTCCACAGATCCCTAGGGCAGGGGCACAGTACAGCCAAGGTCTTTGCTAAAGCATAGCAAAAATGACCTTTGCTGCAGTTCCCAGTAAGTTCCTCATTTCCATCTGAGACCTTAACCAAGACTTCACTGTCCATATCACTATCAGCATTTTGGTCATAACCATTTAACCAGTTTCTAAGATGTTCCAAACTCTCTCTTATCTTCCTATCTTCTTCTGGGTCTTCCAAACTCTTCCATCCTTTGCCTGTTACCCAGTTATTCCAAAGTCACCTCCACATTTTCAGGTATCTTTATAGAAATTCTCCACTTCCCCGTACCAATTTTCTGTATTACTCAATTCTCACATTGTTATGAAGAAATACCTCAGACTGGGTGATTTATAAGAAAAGAGGTGTAATTGGCTCACAGTTCCTGTACAAGAGGCATAGTGCCAGCATCTGCTTGACGGTGGGGGGGGGGGCTCAGGAGGCTTACAGTCATGGCAGTAGGTGAGAGGGGAGCAGGCACATCAAATGGCAAGAGCAAGAGTGAGGAGGGAGGTGTTACACACTTGTAAATAACCACATCTCACAAGAACTCACTCATGATAGGGAGGACAGTACCAAGGGGGATGGTGTTAAACCATTCATAAGAAACCACTCCCATGATCCAATCATCTCCCATAAGGCCCCACCTCCAACACTGGGGATTACATTTCAATATGAAATTTGGGTGGGGACACACATCCAAACTATACCACCTAGATTATGTTACTTACTTCCTATCATATTTCATTTTATTTACTTCCTATATCATATTTCTTTCTTTTTTTTTCCCTTTCCTTTTTTTTTTTTTTTTTTTTTTTTGAGACAGAGTCTCACTCTGTCACCCAGGCTGGAGTGCAGTGGTACTACCTCAGCTCACTGCAACCTCCACCTCCTGGGTTCAAGCAACTCTCCCATCCCAGCCTCCCAAGTAGCTAAGACTACAGGCGCCTGCCACCATGCCCAGCTAATTTTTGTGTATTTAGTAGAGATGGGATTCCACCATTTTGGCCAGGCTGGTCTTGAACTCCTGACCTCAAGTGATCCGCCTGCCTTGGCCTCTCAAAGTGCTGAGATTACGGCCATGAGCCACCACACCCGGGCTTGACCATATTTCTTAATCCTCATTTTATATCTGTGACCCTCAGAGCCAGTGAGACAAGTAACTAGTTAAGATGGTGTTAAGAGCCACGGTTTGAATCCAAGTTTGTCTGACTTTGAGTCAGCAATCTTTACATTGTGTCACACTGTGACATTTTAGGAAGATTAATTTGGTGTAGGATTCTAGGTGGCCTCGTAGGAGGAAAGAAACTTCTGGCAGGAATACCAGGTACAGTGTGCAGGGTTTCCTGATCTGCCTTTCCCAATCCCAGCTCTTCTGCATGTGTTTCCTTAGTTCCATCTTCATTATGTAGCCTACTCCAGTGGTCAGTGCCTTCACTGTCCATCCCTCCTGAATGGGCTCACTCTTTTCTCTGCTTATGCAGTACATCTGCCATCCCCTGCTTTCAGTTCCCCTGTTATCTTTGGATCAGTTCACTGTTGTTTCTCTCCCTTCCTATTTCTCTACCTAATTTTGGGTACATGTTTGAAAGCTCTCAAATGTGCTCAGCAGTTATTTTAGTTGATAGCTAGTTTAATTCTCTCATTCCTACCTTATGCAGTTTCCAGTCTCCTAGCACAGAAACCAATGTGCATTTGAATTTTTTTTTTTTTTCAGACTGGGAGACAAGACTTGAAACCAAAGAGCCAACTCCGAAGCCGGGTATTACTGAAGATTTATGCCATGGGGTAACAATGGAAAGGGAAGGTATCTGGCATTCTACTCTAGGGGAAACCTGGGAACCTAATAATTGGTTAGAGGGACAACAGGATAGTCATCTGAGCCAAGTGGGAGTTACCCATAAGGAAACCTTCACTGAGATGAGAGTATGTGGAGGTAATGAATTTGAAAGATGTTCCAGTCAGGATTCAATCCTTGATACACAGCAAAGCATTCCTATGGTAAAAAGGCCCCATAACTGTAATTCACATGGAGAAGATGCCACACAAAATTCTGAGTTAATTAAAACTCAAAGAATGTTTGTAGGAAAGAAGATCTATGAATGTAATCAGTGCAGCAAAACCTTCAGTCAGAGCTCATCCCTTCTTAAGCACCAGAGGATTCATACTGGGGAGAAACCCTATAAGTGTAATGTATGTGGGAAACACTTCATTGAACGATCCTCCCTTACTGTACATCAAAGAATTCATACTGGAGAGAAACCCTATAAATGTAATGAATGTGGGAAAGCCTTTAGTCAGAGCATGAATCTTACTGTCCATCAACGAACTCACACCGGAGAGAAACCCTATCAGTGTAAAGAGTGTGGCAAAGCCTTCCATAAGAATTCATCTCTTATTCAGCATGAAAGGATTCATACTGGAGAGAAACCCTACAAATGTAATGAATGTGGTAAAGCTTTTACCCAAAGCATGAATTTGACAGTTCATCAGAGAACTCATACAGGAGAAAAACCCTATGAATGTAATGAATGTGGAAAAGCCTTCAGTCAAAGCATGCATCTTATTGTACATCAGAGAAGCCATACTGGAGAAAAACCCTATGAGTGTAGTCAATGTGGAAAAGCCTTTAGTAAGAGCTCAACTCTTACCCTACATCAGCGAAATCACACTGGAGAAAAACCTTACAAATGTAACAAATGCGGGAAATCCTTTAGCCAAAGTACATATCTTATAGAACATCAGAGACTTCATTCTGGAGTAAAACCTTTTGAATGTAACGAGTGTGGAAAAGCTTTCAGTAAGAATTCATCTCTAACTCAACATCGGAGAATTCACACTGGAGAGAAACCTTATGAGTGTATGGTGTGTGGAAAACATTTCACTGGACGATCATCCCTTACCGTGCATCAGGTCATTCACACTGGAGAGAAACCTTATGAGTGCAATGAATGTGGAAAGGCATTCAGCCAGAGTGCTTACCTTATTGAACATCAAAGAATTCATACTGGTGAGAAACCCTATGAATGTGATCAGTGTGGAAAAGCCTTCATTAAGAATTCATCCCTTACAGTGCATCAGAGAACTCATACAGGAGAGAAACCCTATCAGTGTAATGAATGCGGAAAAGCCTTCAGCCGGAGTACAAACCTTACACGACATCAAAGAACTCATACGTGAGGAATGTTTTCACTGGCCCTTACCTCATGATTAACTCTTCAGTAATAATCATATGAGACATACAATGTAGAAACCTAATAAATGTAATGATTGTGGGAATCTTTCAGTTGAAGTACAATATGTCATATCAGATAATACCACTGCAGAGAATCCATCTAAAAGTAGAGAAATCTTGATTCAGAATGTATAATTTCCTTTATATCAGAAGGTTTAAATAGCTAATATAAACAATGAAGAGTCATGCTGAAGATAAGTTCTGTTATATCATACCGCACATTCTCCTTTGGCTATCAGAGACTTTACACTGGAGAGAAAAATGTGAGAGTGTTTAACTGGACAGCCCAGAGACCTGGTATGTAGTCCTAATCTGCCACTGCCTTGGACAACTTGCCTACTTCCACCAGGTTATGGTTCTTTATTTGGTAAATGAATGATTTTGGAGTTAGAAATCTTGTAGGAGCTCTGTTAGCTCTAAAATGCTACAACTCTATAAATATAATGAATGCTGGGAAATCTTTGTTCTTTTACGATCTTATGCTGTCTGTATGCAGTCTAGATGCTCTTGTTCCACAATCTGGTTTCCTTGGATCCTTTTAGTCAAAATGATTTACCTTTACGAATTCCTAGTACCCTTCCATGCCCCTAATCTTCCCCTGCATTGTTATTTTGTCCCCTAACTACAGGCTGGTTTCCATAAATTAATGGAATAAGTATGCAAATGTTTTCATTTATTTATTTATTTATTTATTTTGAGATGGAGTTTCGCTCTTTTGCCCAGGCTGGAGTGCAGTGGCTTGATCTCAGCTCACTGCAAGCTCCACCTCCTGGGTTCATGCCATTCTCCTGCCTCAGCATCCCAAGTAGCTGGGACTACAGGCGCCTGCCACCATGCCTGGCTAATTTTTTTGTATTTTTAATAGAGATGGGGTTTCACCATGTTAGCCAGGATGGTCTCAATCTCCTGACCTCGTGATCCACCCACCTCGGCCTCCCAAAGTGCTGGGATTACAGGCATGAGCCCCCGTGCCCGGCCAAGTATGCAAATCTTAATGCAATAGCATGCTGTTTTGAGTTCTCAATTAATAGTTATTAAACTGTTGTTAAATGATCATTTAGAAAATAACATAGTCCTGTAAGTACAAAGGAATCACATATCTTTGTGTCATATTCTGGCTATCAAAGTAGAAAAGAAAAGACGGGGGCTGAACACTAACAGACATAGCCATCTGACCTGTTAACAAAATGTTGAGGCTGGACAAAGTGGCTCATGCTTGTAATCCCAGCACTTTGGGAGGCTGAGGCAGGATGACTGTTTGAGCTCAAGAGCTCAAGACCAGCCTGGGCAACATAGTGAGACCTTGTCTCTACAAAAAGTTTTCAAAAAATTAACCAGGCATGGTGGCACATGTTTGTAGTCCCAGCTACTCAGAAGGCTGAGGTGAGAGAATAACTTGAACCCAGGAGGTTGAGGCTGTAGTGAGCAGTGATTGTGCCACTGAACTCCAGCCTAGGCAACAGAGTAAGAACTTTGTCTCAAAACAAAAAACAAAAACGTTGCACCTCAAAAACATACTCAAAACAATATAGGGAGATTTTATAGATCTATAGTTACTGTGGTAGTTAAGATAGCTTTGTTTATTTCACACACATATACCAAGTCCTAAATATGTGTTAGACATGATTAGAAAATCAAAATGAGTAAGACATATTCTTTGATTTATAAGGGTTAAACTACAAAAGTGGCAGTATGATGGGAGAGGAGAGGAAGAATACAAGCAATCACAAGCAGAATCTAGGAAATTTGGTAAATGACTAAATGTGCCACTTGAATGAGAAGGAAGAGTCTAGGATGACTTGGAGTTCTTATTTTGGTAGATAAGGTTGCCATAATTAAAAACACCTATAGTTGCCCAATTTTGTGGGGCAATGATGAGTTCACTTTGGGTACATTTCCATGAGTCTGTGGGACATCCAAGGGAAGGGTCCTGATAGGCAGCAGAGTAAGTGATAAAGGAGACACATTTGCAGGACTGTCATTGATGGGTTAGGTGGTAAAAAGAGGAAGCAGTAGACGCTAAGTGGAATAAACAGCAAAAAGAAAAATAGAAAAATCAAAAGTTGGTGCCACAAAGGTAAAAAGATAGCTTTAACACAGCGATAGGAATAGTTAATACTGTGAAATGCTATGGAGGGCAAAGATAAAAACAGAACTATGTCGGCCAGTCGCAGTGGCTCACGCCTGTAATCCCAGCACTTTGGGAGGCCAAGGCAGGCGGATTACGAGATCAGGAGATCAAAACCATCCTGGCTAACATGGTGAAACCCTGTCTCTACTAAAAATACACACACACACACACACACAAATAGCCAGGCATGGTGGCACATGCCTGTAGTTCCAGCTACTCGGGAGGCTGAGGAGGCAGGAGAATGGCATGAACCTGGGAGGTAGAGCTTGCAGTGAGCCGAGATCGTGCCACTACACTCCAGCCTGGGCAACAGAGCAAGACTCCATCTCAAAAAAAAACAAAAAACCAGAACTATGTCCTTTTGTTTGGGCTATCAGTTTAAGACAGATGGCTTAACACCTCTGTTTGAGTGGGTTGAAGAGTGAGTTAAATGTTCAGAAGAACTTAGCAGCCTTACTGAGGTGGGAGAAACTCAGAAAGGTAACTATAGAGGGAGGCTGGGGCTTGGAGCGTACCAGAAGAGCTGTGGGCTGCACGCAATGGAAAGCCCAGTCCGTGATGGTGTAAGAAAGTAGAGATTTAGTTTTCTCACATAACAAATCTGGAAGTGGCTGTCACTTCTTCACAGATAAAACAATTCAGTGTCTTGAGTTTAATGTGGTTTCCATCATGGTTACATCATGATGGCCATAGTATCAAGTAATGTATCTGCATTCAAGGCAGGAGGGAAGGGGGAGGAGAGCACCAGCAACATTTAGTGCCTTCGATCAGGAGAGTTTTTCCCAGAAGCCACTCAGCAGACTCCTGCTTATATCTCATTGACCACAGCTGTGTTGCATGGCCACCCCCTAGCACAAGGAAGGCTGTGGAAAGAAGTATTTAACCCTTCCAGCCTCTATAGAGGAGGCAGGCACAAAAAAAGGGGGGTTGAGAATGGTGTTGATTTAGCCAGCCAACAATCTGCCAGGAAGTGTTTGTATGATTTAAGGTAGGATTGAGCAAGTTCATAACTGAAAAAAGAGGTGTGGAAGAGTGAAGGTCCAGAAAGGAGGGGACACGCAGCTCAAAGTGGGAAGATCTGGAACACAGGTGGAGGCTGCAGGGATCACTTTCAACAGGAGGAAGGAAACTTTTCCCTGGGAGAGATGTGACGCCACAAATGATGGGTACAGAAGACATTCGTGGGTGGCAACGGAGGAAGTTCCTGTGAACTCTTAACTGTTTGAACCTTCAGCATCCAGTCTTCCAGTCTCTCTTGGCTAGGTGACCTCTCAAGGTTAATATTTTACCAGTTTTGAGTCATTGCATCCATCCTAGGCTTCAAAACCCTTCATTTTTCCCTTTCTCTCTTGTCCTGTGCCTGCCTTCTGAGCGTTTATTTTGCTGCTGTCATTATCATTTCCATCTATTTTCTACCCATTTCTTTTGTCTGCCTCCTTTCTTCCCCTCTAGCTCTCTCTCTTGAGATCATGTGGGGAACAAGAAAAAAAATATCTGAAGAGGAAGGAGGAGACCCTGTAGAAGAGAGAGATTATTAAAAATCTAAGTTCCTGAGGATACAGCTAATTTGATGTTTTATTCCCCCTTCTTTCTGTTTTAACTCCAATGGTTTGTATTTGAGTATAGGCAAGGAGACCCAGGATCTGCATGCTGAGTTGAGAAGTGTATGTGTGTGGAAGGAGGCGAGGGCAGAAGAGTGGAGAATCTCAGTGTCAATGATTTGCCCCATCCTCCTCCAGCCTCCAAACTTGGAATGAAGGGAAGGGTGCTCTTTATTTGTGAAACAATAAAGAAACCAATTGGGTTTCTTTTGTGGAATTTCAGAATTAGGACAGAGGCACTTGGGTGTTAGAAGATCAAAGTACTAGATATGAGAGCTGATGCTGACATCTTGGGTCATGTGCAAATTTAATTGTAAGCAAAGGAATCCAACTGGGAGGAGTACTGGGAGTATAAGGGTCTGGGAGAGAGGGCCCTTCATTTCAGTGTCCGTTCTCAGGCAGAACTGAAGTTTCAGTAATATATGAGGATTTTTTGGTAACTTAAAGTACAGTACAGCCAGGCCTTGTGGCACCTGGGAATCACCAGCAGCCAAGGACGTGTGCATGCTCTCTCCCTCTGTCTTCGTCCCCCACCCCTCGCCACTGCTACCACCACCACATGGGCTCTGTTACTGCTTTGTCCATCCCCTCACTGGTGGTTGGATTCCTTTGTTTACGATTAAATTTGCACATGACCCAAGATGTCAGTATCAGCTCTCCTATCTAGTGAACTTTCATCTTCTAACATCCAAGTGTCTGTCCTAATTCTAAAATTCCACGAAAGAAAACCATTTGGTCCAGATCATCCTTTTAAGACAAGCCTCACAAGTCACCTTTTCTGGCTAAGTACCCATCCAGTCAGCTGGTGGGAGGAGGCCCGCCATGTGATCGCTGTCCATGCAGTCGGGCCGGTGTGCAGCAAACTGACAGATACGACCAATATGTCATGAGATAGTTACTGAGCACCTACTCAGTAGTTGCTAGTGATTTAGAGCTCAGAAGGAGCTCAAGGTAGGGAAGTCTGAAATAAACCAGGAGTTAGGATGCACTAGGGTAACTCTGAAGGTAGCAAGAAACACAGCGCCCTCTGGAACTATAGAGAATTGGGTGACCAGGGTATTTCCTCTATGGCTGGATCATCATTCAAAAGACTCAAATAGGGCCATTCCCTCCACTTGAGCTCTGTGAAATGGGCCTCTGGGCATTTAAAGAGGTTACCAGTCAGGGTTCTTTAACGAATAAAAGTGGAGCTGCAGAATATGGTGCCAGTACCCCTCTCCTAGATACTGCATAGCTTCCAACTGCCTCTGGCTCCTGAAAAATATCACAACAGATCTGGAGGAGAAGGGTCTCTGAAAAATTTATGAATGCTTATAACTTAATTGAGGTAGGTTATTTCCCTGCCTATATACACATTGGCATGATCTGATGGTCTGTGGTCAAGAGACTCATAAGTAATTGGCCTGTGCTGCATGTTATTGTGACAAGGATGAGTAAGACCTTGTTCCTACTCATAGTGTAGTTCATTCAAGCAACTAACATTTATTGAGCTCCTAGCATAAGTCAGCTTCTATGAATTCCAGGGTAAATGACGCCTGCTCTCTGCTGTCAAGTAGCTCCTAGCACACAGTGCCATAAGAGTGAACTAGTTGGGTGAACAGAAGACGGGAGGAAATGAGAAGGTGCAGGGAAGAATAGGAGTAATGGCAAGAGAGGCTAAGAGAGCATAGTGTATATTCAGGAAATTCTAAGAGATGTATGATTTAAGCATAGAGTAGAAGTCAAGAAGCAGGAAGAAATGAGGCTAAAGGAAGACCTTATTATATCACGCTTCAAGGGTCCCAACAGGGCTCAGCAAATGGACACCAGGAATTACTGGCACGTAGCCACTGTCCTGGGGAAGCGTAAGCAGACTGGTGATGGAGGTCTTGGTCAAATGTAAGTGTTCATTTGCATATCCATAGTTAATAGAGCAGAAGGGAAAGGGGTTCTCCAGACCACGTTTTAACCTCCTTTCTCCGAGGAGACTGGTTCCTGATGAGAATCCTTGACAGAAGCGGGGGCTTCCTCAGTGAATACTCAGAACAATATAGTGTGTGAGTCCTGGCTAAAGTCAAAGGGTGTGTCAGGCTTCATATCAGAGGTTTCACTGCTTCTCTTCAGCTTGAATAGTTTTGTTTTTTAGTTGGCTGTGGAAGGGCACCTGTTAGGTACTCCTAACAGACTACAGCATCACCAGGACAAATGGGTCAGATAAATGAAGGTTTTATTACTGTTTTCAGTTCTGGAAGACTTGGGCCTTTGTATGTCAGTTCTTTGCCATCTGGGTGACAAGTAATAAGAGCACTTTTGAACCTTCCAACATCAACAGGAGAAGGACTCCTGGTTCCAAGGACATGGGACCTGAGCAAGGCACTTAACAGATGAGTGCCTCAGTTTTCTCATTTATTAATAGGGCAAACCTCAGTTTTTGGTTGCATTAGATAATGTAAAGTGCTTGTAAAAGTGCCCAACATGGCCAGGCGCAGTGGCTCATGCCTGTAATCCCAGCACTTTAGGGGGCCGATGCGGGCGGATCACCTGAAGTCAGGAGTTCAGCCTGACCAACCTGGGGAAACCCCATCTCTACTAAAAGTACAAAATTATCCAGGCGTGATGGCGCATGCATGTAGTCCCAGCTACAGGGGAGGCTGAGGCAGGAGAATTGCTTGAACCCGGGAGGCGGAGCTTGCGGTAAGCCGAGGTCATGCCATTGCACCCCAGCCCGGGCAACAAAAGTGAAACTGTGTCTCAAACAAAAAAACTCCCAACATGTAGTTAGTGCTCAATACATATTATCATTCTTAAATTCCTGAAAACAATAATATCCAAACTCCTGAGCATAGCACCCAAAACCCTTCAATATCTTAGAATCATTAGGCTCTCAAAGCAAATGCCTTGTGGAAAGGTTATATAATTGTGGGAGGCTACTTGTAATTGTGGACTGCTGTCATTGCCTCCTCATTGGTCTTCCTGTATCCCCTCTAGCCCCACCACTGTCTGCCTTCTTTGAAGCTGACCAGTGCGTCTATCAAAACGTGCCCAGCCATGTCACTCTTTCAAATCTAATCATTTCCAGGCACAGAAATAAATCCAAATTTCCTTCCTTCAAGGCCTGTAGTTACTCCTGCAACAGCATCTCGCAGTCTTCCTTGTTCAGTAGGCCCTCGCCAGTCATACTGACCTTGCCAAGCCTGGAGTTCACCAAGCACACTTCTCTCTGGTCAGCATTTCTGTTCCCTCCCTTTAGAAGGCACTTTACCCATACAGTCACATCGTTTCTTCCCTCACTGTATTCAAATCTCTGCTCAGGTGTTACCTCCTCAAAGAGAACTTCCAAAACTGCTGCTTGAAATAATTCCCCGCCCCATCACACCCTAACCCCTAACAGTAGTGTTATCACTACCAGATAAATACTTTCTACTTGTCTGACCCCTCCTCTAGTACAATTAAAACTCCATGAGTGCAGGGTTTTCACAGCTATTTCTCCAGCCCCTGGACTCGGGGTTCTTACTCTCTGGAGCCCAGTTTGAGTGACCTGGAGTCACGAGGGAGGCGAGAGAGAAGGGTTACCAGCGATACTCACACAACATCCTCCCCCTCTGGTGCTTTGCCGGGTCCCTGGGAACTGCTACAGGGGCTGCACAGCGGCTGACCCTGGCCTTGTCAAGCACTTGACACATAAGTGCTCCAAAGTGTCTATGGAATGAAATCTTCAATAAAACTCCAAACAGAATGCTGTAGTCACTGACACTGCTTCCTAAAACGTGGCCAACAATTCCGTATGTGACAAACAGGTCACATTCTTGATTTTTTTTAACGACCAACAAAGTTAAAACCCTCTCATCTTTCCTTCCTGAGCTCCATGCAAATTACCTATTCAAAAGCAACTAAGTATCTCCAGTTGGATATTCTTAGGCATCATCTCATCCTTGCCAGTCTCTGCAAAATATGGTCGACAAAAATAAATACCACCTTCTTAAATACCACCCAGCTGTCCAAGATGGAGACTTCCTGGCATCCAGGCGCCTTCCTCTCCCTCGTCCCCACCTCTGAGAAGTTCCCAAGCACGAAGTGTTCTGCGTCCCGAACATTCCAGGGGCCGCCAGCCACCATGGGCTCTGTCCTGAGGTGCCAAGCAGGACATCCCTGCCCGACATCCTTGTCCTCCCGCACCGCACACGCGTTAGTGGCTGTGGCGTCGCCACCCCAGCACACGCTGGCCCGCCCGCAGTGCCAGGCTGGAAGTGTCGGGCGCTTGCCAGGCCAAGGGGCAATTCTGTTGCCTTCCAGGCCTTTTCGGCGCGGTCCCAGTCAGGAACGCGCCCTGTCGCCTCCCACTCCGTCTTCCGGACCCTCCCGATCCTCTCTCGTCAGCGATCGGGCGTCGCTCCCCTGGACTAACCTCCCTTGCCCCATCTTCAGCTTTTCGCTGATCTGCATCTTCCTGCGCCTTAGTGCAAGGCAGAGACCTGGTTCTAAAGCGAACGGAACGGAACCGATTCTGTAAGTTGCAATGAGCGCGCTGAGGTCGGCGTGGAGGGGTCTCTGGGAAAGGTAGTTTCCGCGCCTAAAGCGCCGGGGCCGGGCCCTGTTCCCGCAGGCGCAAGGCAGCACTGTCTCCGCCGATTGTCCCTCTGGGAAGTGGAGTCTGGCCGGCGGAACTGCAGCAGCCCTGAGACTTGTGGGAATTCGGCCCAAGGGTTCCCAGGGCAACGCGCAAGCGCAGTTCGGCTCCCGGCTGCAGACTCCAGCTCATTGTGTTCTGACTGCGATGTGGCGCTTGCGATCTCTCGCCGCCGGCAGAGGCTCCTCGAAGAGCGACACGGGGCTGACCAGGCACGGTGGTCAAAGCCGCAGAGGGAGAGCGGGAGCGGTCGTGAGGTCGTCTGGGGAGAAGGGCGGAGGCAAAGCCGAGGAGGTGCGGGTTGTGGTCCATTCTGGAGGACGCTGATCGAATGCCCCAAACTTCCCGGAATGTATGTCTGAGATTTGATCCCAGAGAGGGAGGACGGCCAGGGGTGGTCATCCTGGGCTGAGGGTCGAGTCTGTGAGTGCCTGTGGAGGAGATGGAGCCAGGGCCTCTGGCATGTGTCTTGGAGCGGACTCCGAGAAGCCCAGGGTTTCCTCTCAGGTGATAGATACACGCCTGGCGTGGTTCCGAGTCCTGCGCCAGGAACTCGCCAAGGCCGGAGGCAGCCGCTGCGCAGCCCCTGCCACAGCCCCCGAGGGACCTGGCGAAGCGGCAGGGGCGGGACGGGGCTGTGTGTGATTAGGGTTCCTAACCCTTCCCTCTCCCCTCCCGCCCAGCTCACACAAACGCCGCTTCTGCCCACCCGTGACTCCAGGCCACCCAGACTGGGCCCCAGAGAGTGAGAACACTGAGGCCAGAGAAGGGTTTGCCTGAGAGGCTTCGACAGTGAAGAGCCTTCTTAGCCTCCTTTCTGAGGAGGAAGAAGACCACCCTCCTTTTCCTCTTCTCCTGTCACTGCCAGATAAGGCAGCTGTTCCAAAGCCGCAGAGGGAGAGCGGAGCGGTCTTCCAATCCAGTCGAACCCAGACACTGCCCTCCGTTGCCTCTCCCCAGCGCTCCCACCTTTTCGGGTACATCCTGGTGGGTTCTGGAGCTGAATAACTTGTTAAAGAGATAATTCTCGGCCGAGTGCGGCGGCTCACGCCTGTAATCCCAGTACTTTGGGAGGCCGAGGCGAGCCGATCACCTGAGGTCCGGAGTTCGAGACCAGTCCGACCAACATGGTGAAATCCCGGTCTCTACTAAAAATATAAAAAATTAGCCGGGCGTGGTGGCGGGTGCGTGTAATCCCAGCTACTCCGGAGACTGGGGCGGGAGAATCGCTTGAACCCGGAAGGCGGAGGTTGCAGTGAGCCAAGATCGTGCCACTGCACTCCAGCCTAGGTGACAGAGCGAGACTCTGTCTCAAACAAACAAACAAAAAAAGAATTCTCTTGAGATCGCTCAGTGAGGCTGAAGGGAAAGACCAGAGGGTGGGTGGAAGGCATGAGAACTGGACCTGGAGCAGGCTTTCTGCAGGGAAAAGTCAATGTATAGTACCCTCAGAAGGAGGAGAGAGAATGGGGAGCAAACAGGAACCAAAACACTCACTGCTTGGGGTACTGGAGGCCTCCCAGGATGTGAATGCTCACTGCCTCGCTCTGGACTGCTGTATGAGAGCTTTTGACCCAGTTCTCTCCTAATAGCAGGTGTGTGGACCCTTCTAGCCTGAGGAGTCCTGCAGGTGTGAAGCTCCACACCTGCCTCCATAGCACTTTGCCTGTCCCTAAGAGGGCTCATCGGAGAAGAAAGAATGGCTGTCAGCCACCTGCCAACCATGGTCCAGGTGAGTGGGGGTTTCTTCCCCCTAAATTGCTTTCTGGATTTGAAGAGTGTGGCATGTTTGCTTCCTCAGACCGGGAGCTTTATTCCCAATCCAGTCCCACCCAGACACTGACCTCAGTTGCCTCTCCCCAACCAACACCCTCCAACCCCGCCCCATATCCGGCTCATCCTGGTGGGTGTTGCAGCTGTATAACTTGCTAAAGGTCACATAAATGTCACAGCTGGGACTGGAACCCAGGTCCCTGTGAAATCAAAACCTGTACTCTTTTCACTAGCAAGTAAGATTAGGGATCTGAAGTGGTAAAAGCATGTATTAGTCCCTTTTTACATTGCTCTAAATAAATATCTGAGGCTGGGGAATTGATAAGAAGTTTAATTGGCCCACGGTTCTGTAGGCTGTACAGGAAGCATGGTGTCAGCATCCACTTCTGATGAGGACTTTAAAAGCTTCCAATCATGGCAGAAGGTGAAGGGGGAGCAGGTGTATCACACGGTGAGAAAGGGAGCAAGAGAGAGAAGTGGGAGGTCCTAGACTCTTAAACAACTGGATCTCACGTGAACCAACTGAGCGAGAATTCACTCATCACCAAGAGGATGGCACTAAGCCATTCACGAGGGATCTACCCCCATGATCCAACACCTCCCACCAGGCCCCCCCTCCAACATTGGAGGTCACATTTCAACAGGAGAGTTGGAAGGGACATACATCCAAACTATATCAGGGCAGTATCTCACACAGAGCTCAAAGAAGGGCATTGTAGGAACACTTTTCTGGGGAGGTGTGATTTACTAGACTCTTTTTCTTTTATGACATTTGGTTTTTTTACCAATGAAATTATTCAAAAGACTATTCTGCCAAAAAGTCCTATAAATTCCTAAAACGCTTTGAGCAGTCCTAGCATCTTTAGAATAAGAATATGGGCCAGACGCGGTGGCTCACGCCTGTAATCCCAGCACTTTGGGAGGCCAAGGCCAGCGGATCACGAGGTCAGGAGATCGAGACCATCCTGGCTAACACAGTGAAACCCCGTCTCTACTAAAATTACAAAAAAAATTAGCTGGGCGTGGTGGTGGGCGCCTGTAGTCCCAGCTACTCGGGAGGCTGAGGCAGGAGAATGGCGTGAACCCAGGAGGCGGAGCTTGCAGTGAGCCAAGATTGTGCCAGTGCACTCCAGCCTGAGTGACAGAGCGAGACTCCATCTCAAAAATAAAAAATAAAAAAGAATATGGACTGTGCTTTGAAGGAGACAGCATTCATTTGGGCATATACATTCTGATACATTTGGTTAAATTGTTCTAATTCCTTCACATTTAAACCTCCCCAAGGACTGGGATGTGTGGCAGGAATCACTGGAAAGGATGACCAGCTAGGTGGGAGCGCCATGTTCAACATAGCACAGCTCACCGGCTGTTCCCCTCCTCCTCTTGGCTTCTGACTTGTCACTTAGGACCCTTCTCATGCACCACTTTTTCTGCAAAACCTGTCCGCACCCACAGTGCCAGTCTACTGTGATATTTTCCTTCCTTAACCTTTTCCTCAAAGTCACTGTCGGTGTCATACAATTTATCTTGTGTTTATAGGCTGCCTTGATTTGGTTGCCATTCAGCAGACATATGTTAGGGCTGTAAAATGTGCCAGGAATTATGATCTGGGCTACAAATACAAAGTGAACGATAAATGGGCCCTGACAAATTGGTTCATGGCTTCCATCCAAGTGTTTCTTGACTGCCTGTCATGGGCCAAGTCTCTGGGTGCAGGTAACGGAAACCTAATTCAGACTGCCTCAGGCAGAAGCAGGCACTGACTGGAAAGATATGGAGGTGTTCCCCCAAATGCAAAGGCAAAGACACAGCTAGATGTTGACTGTGGAAGTGGGATCTACAATAACCTGAGAGTCCTTTCTCTTGGACCTTTGGTTCCTTCTCTGGGCTTCTGCTTACCTCTTTTTTCTCAGTGAACACCAGCTCCCTTAACTTCTCAGCCAACTGGGAAGACAAGAGCTGTGATAGCTACTGGATTTTACATGCTAGGTTAGGTTTCGGCTACACCTGTGTGTCAGGACAGAGAGACTTTCCTCTGTGACCCCCTCTCAGAGTTTCTAAGAAAGGGACTAGTTCTAATCAGAAGGAACAAGTTTCCTATTGTGCAGAATGACTGGTTCCATGGGACCCATGTGTGTGTATGCACATGTGCACACGTGTGCATGTGTGTGTGTGTGTTGAGGGTGTGTGTCACAGGGTGTGTGTGGGGGTATTTGTGGGGGGGTGTGTGTGTTCGGGTGTGTGTGCGCGCTTGCATGTGTGCGTGTGTGTCGTGTGTGTGTTGAGGGTCTGGGGGATGTGTAGGGCTGTGTCTTTGTATGTGAGTTTGTGTGTATGTGTCTGTGTGTTTGTGTGTGTGTCTCTGTGTGTGTATTTGTATGTTGGGGTATGGGTATGGGTATGTGTTGTGTGTATGTGCATGCGCACTTGTGTGGTACGTGTCTGTCTGTGTATGTTTGTGTGTGTTTGTATGTGGGTGTATGGATATGGGTTGTGTGTGTGTGTCTCTGTGTCTGTGTGTGAGTTTATGTGTGTTTGTGAGGGGTACGGATATGGGTGTGTGTATGCTTGTGTGTGTATGTGAATGTGGGGGGGGTGTGTCGTGTGTGTGTATGTGGAGGGATATGGGTGTGTATGCTTGTGTCTGTGCATCTCTGTGTGGGGGGTGTGGGTATGGGTCTGTGTTTGTATATAGGTGTATGTGTGTGTCTGTGTGCTTGTGTATGTGTCTCTGTGTGTAGGGGGTGTGGATATGGGTGTGTGTTTTGTGTGTGTGTGTATGTGGAAGGGTATGGGTATGTATGCTTGTGTGTGTGTGTCTCTGTGTGTGGGGGGGTGTGGGTATGGGTGTGTGTGTGTGTTGAGGATGGGGAGGTACACACTGAAGAAAAGCAGGAGTTGCTGAGCAGCCACAGATAGGTGTCGAGTACATGGGCCGTGTTCCAGATGCAGGGAAGGCCAAGAGATGTAGAGACAGACAGTCCACATCTTGGAGTTAACAGTCCAGCGGGGGAGACTGAAGGTAAACCAAACATCACAATAAAATGGGACAGTGTCTTGATGGGCCCTCATAGGCAACTGTAGGAGCCATCAGGGAAGGCTGCGCTGAGCGAGCGGTGTTGAGTGAGCCGTGTCTATGCTGAGACCTGCGTAGGATTTGGTCCCCTGGGGTGAGCGGAGAGGCAGGGCTAGGCGGTTTGAGGGAGATGGAGAAAATGTTCTGGGCTAAATGAATGGCAAGTTGGAAGTCCCAGTGCTGAGAAAGCCTATCTTCGCCACCATATATGTTTCTTCAGCGTGGAGAGCAATGTCTAGTCCAAGGCTAGGCCCCTAGGAGACCCTGAAGAGTGATGAACTTGTCACAGAACGCCAGCTCCCTGTGTGCCAGCAGTCCTGTAAATGCGCACAAGCTCCTAGGGGCTGCCAGTCTCTTTTCCAGAGAACCATGTGCAGGGGTAGCCCCTGGTCAAGGAGAATGAATTTGCTGTTGCAGGAATCGGTGACCTTCAAGGATGTGGCTATACTGTTCACCCAGGAAGAGTGGGGGCAGCTGAGCCCCGCCCAGAGGGCCCTGTACAGGGACGTGATGCTGGAGAACTACAGCAACCTGGTCTCACTGGGTAAGTGGGACCCCTGCAAGGTTTCTCTTCACTTTTGGGGATCTCTTTGGGACCCTTACATTGACACCATATAGAAGAGTCGGTTGGACCAACTGAGGACGCTGTCTTCAAGGGTGCCATTAATTTTACCTGTCCTTGGTGTCCTGGGCACAGGCCTCTTTTGGAGTCCACTGCGGATGCCTCAAAAGTGACTAGGGTCAAATGCTTTCTTTCTGGCAAGGAGGGGAACATGGGATAAGATTGTGTCAGGCCTGAGTAATCTTTTCCTCCCTCTGGGAACACACCTGACCCTGGGCTTTCCTATCAAGTCCCATTTCCCAGCAAGCTCTGAGGACCAGGCTTTGTCTTTGCAGTGATTTTTATCTCTCGTATAAACAGATGTGGTTCATTTTTGTCTCCCCTTAAAAACAGGACTCTTAGGACCCAAACCAGATACGTTTTCCCAGCTAGAAAAAAGGGAAGTGTGGATGCCAGAGGACACCCCTGGAGGCTTCTGTCTTGGTAAGAATCATGTGTGTGGGAGACACCGGGAGGAGCCCTGCTGGGTAGGGAAGGCTCCGTAGGGAAGGCAGGGAGGCTTGCAGATGCACCTGCCTGAGGATTGAGAAAGAGCCTGTTTCACATTCGTTCACCTGAATACCTTGTTGCTACTTTTGTTCCAGCCTGCACTACCAACATGTAGCAGGCCTGGACCCTCCCCGCAATGATTTTTCTTCTCTCCCTGTTTGGCGTAGATTAGTAGAGTCTCTGGTCTAGAAAAGACTCAACTTCATCTGGGCAGTTCTCCCCACACCCCCATTCATGGGTGTCCTGTTCAGCATCTGACAGTGCAGTCTCTGCCTGCCCTTCTCTCATGAGGAGCCACAGCATGGCAGCTTCTGGTGTTAAGAGCCAGTTATCATGTGCCCACAAGGTATCTCCTCTAGCTACACATTGCACTTGTCTTCAACTACCTCCATATGTGTTTGTCCACGTGGGTTATTTATCTTCTACGTTTTGCTGGCCATTGTCTTTGACTGCAAGTGCCATGGAGCCCAGGTTATTGTATATTTTGCTGTGTTGCTCACACCTAGCGTAGTGCTTGGCACCTAGTAAGTGGCACAGACTTGTTGCCTGGGGATACAAAAGACATGACAGTTTGGTGATGGTTACTTGTCTTGAGAAGCTCATTGTATCGGTGGCTTAAGGGCAGTGGTGTGTTTTTCTCCCTTAATCCCCAGTATTCGAGAGAGCTTGGTGCCTTATCCAAGCACTGTAGCGTCTCCCTGTCAGCTAGCATTTTGCAGGCTGTGGAGTATTTTTATAAACCTTTTGCTACAGATTCTTCACGGTAACCCAATGCAGTAGGCGGGAATTTATATCCTACAATAAATAACTGTGTACCTGGAATATCTAGAACCCAATTTGTTATGGAAATTAAATATCTCTTTATTTTTTTTTATTTTTTGAGACGGAGCCTCGCTGTGTCACCCAGGCAGGAGTGCAGTGGCGCAATCTCAGCTCACTGCAACCTCCGCCTCTTGGGTTCGAGCAATTCTCCTACCTCAGCTTCCCGAGTAGCTGGGATTACAGGCGTGTGTCACCACGCCTGGCTAATTTTTGTATTTCTAGTAGAGATGGGGTTTCACCATGTTGGCCAGCATGGTGTCGAATTCCTGATCTTAAGTGATTCGCCCCCCTCAGCCTCCCAGAGTGCTGGGATTACAGGCGTGAGCCACCTCATGTGTCTAGAAATTAAAAATCTTAACTCTAAAACTCAGTTGTCAACAAACAATTTTTAATATACCCAATAATATTCTGAATAGTCTATGAATTTGTATATTCCATTACCAAACTAAGGCATTTTAAATATTTTATTCTGTATTATACAAATAGTCTTATAACAAAAATGGAGGCAATTAAAAGAAATTCATCCACAGTTCTACCACCTTGGCATCACTGTTTTCACCTAAATCATTCAATCATCCATTCATTCATGATTCATGGAGTCTAATTCTTCATTGCACCCTTGAGAGAGGAGTATGGAGGTGAAGAGGACTTTTGTGCCTACAGAGATTTCATAGTCAGGTGTGGGTGATGACATGAAGGTACAGCCAACCACAGTTCAGTGCATCTGGGCCCCTGCCCACACTCTGTTCCCGCAGGCATGATTTCTGAGTTTCGTGGAGATGCCGCACTGAGGCTGGTTTGGGAAGGGTGATTAGCAGTTAGCCAGTCAGACGTCAGAGAAGACTTAATTTATGTCTCAAGAAAGTTTTATAGCTTTCCCATTTCCTATTAAAATTTTATATGTAGATCTAATTTATGTAAAATTTAATATATATTTTATATAAATTATTCTATGAATTTATATAATTTATATTTAAAAATAAATAATAAATTTACATAATGTATAATTGATATAAATTATATGTACACAGATTTTTTTTTTTTTGAAGACACAGTCTCCTTCTGTTACCCAGGCTGGAGTGCAGTGGTGTAATCATGGCTCACTGCAACCTCAGGCTCCTAAATAGCTGAGACTACAGCTGCTTGCCACTGCCTGGCTAATTTTTATTTATTTTTTATTTTTTATTTTATTTGAGTTGGAGTCTCACTCTGTCACCCAGGCTGGAGTGCAGTGGTGCAGTCTCGGCTAACTGCAACCTCCGTTCTCCCGAGTTCAAGCGATTCTCCTGCCTCTGCCTCCCAAGTAGCTGGGATTACAGGCGCCTGCCACCTCGCGCAGCTAATTTTTTGTAGTTTTACTAGAGATGAGGTTTTGTCATGTTGGCCAGGCTGTTCTCAAACTCGTGACCTCTGGTGATCCGCCCCCCTCAGCCTCCCAAAGTGCTGGGATTACAGGCGTGAGCCACTGTGCCTGGTCTTTTTTTTTAGTAGTTTGCCCAGGCTGATCTCAAACTCTGGACTTCAATCCTCCTACCTCAGCCTCCTAATAAGGTTATATTTTTAAAAAATAGATCTATTTTGTTTTTTGTCCACTGGGAATTTCTGCTATGATGACGTGCTGGTCATTTTCAAATAGCTACTATTGTCACTTGTCAGTTTCTAATTCATGTTCATTCTCAACATATTTGTTGGATTCATTTTTAGTTTTTTTCTCTTATTTCTGTTTCATTTCCTTTTTTTTGTTTTTTGTTGTTGTTTTTTGAGACAGAGTCTCGTTCTGTCACCAGGCTGGAGTGCAGTGGCGCAATCTTGGTTCACTGCAATCTCCGCCTCCTGGGTTCAAGTGATTCTTCTGCCTCAGCCTCCCAAGTAGCTGAGATTATAGGTGTGCACCACCATGCCCAGCTAATTTTTGTATTTTTAGTAGAGATGGGGTTTTACCATGTTGGCCAGGATGGTCTTGATCTCTTGACCTCGTGATCCGCCCACCTTAGCCTCCCAAAGTGCTGGGATTACAGGTGTGAGCCACCACGCCCGGCCTCTGTTTCATTCTTAATGACTGGCTAAGACATCAAAGACCATAGAGAGCAATGATAATAGGTTTTCAAGGAATTGGATCTAGTAATTTTCCATTGTTGCACTAATTAGTCATGGTTTAGAATGCACACTTTTTTTGTGTGTGGAGACAAGGTCTCACTATGTTGCCCAGGCTGGTCTCAAACTCCTGGGCTCAAGTGATCCGCCAGCCTCAGCCTCCCAAAGTTCTGGGATTACAGGTGTGAGCCACCGTACCTGGCTGACACTTATTTTTAATCATAATATGAAAAAGTCCTTGGTAAATAGCTTTCCTTCTTAGTTTTTCTATTCTCTGTGCCATGAGCTAGGGGAAGGGGAGAAAGCTGACATTTGAGCACCTGTGGATCAGCACCGTGCTGAGAGATTTGGGGGGATTTGTGTTGGCTGCGCCTTTTCATCCTTATAACCTGTGAGGCAAGGATGACTGACTCCACTTCGCAGAAAATGGAGCCTCAACTGCTGAATTAATTTGGACTGATGTAATGCTGCTTTTAAGAGGCAAGTCAGGGTTAGCATGAAGCCGGCAGGAGACTCGCCCGACCCTTCAAGTGTTGCACTTTTTTCCCTTCTCCAAAATAGTTTTAATTACATATAAATTGTCCACTCACCAAACGTAAAGGAATGCTCAGCCAAAGGCTCACCAATGCTCGGTGATTCCTTAATTGAGGAGTTGCTAATACCTTTTATAATTTCTTCCTTATTTATTAATCTGTTGAGGTTTATTTTTGCTACATCGATTGTACATTTTATTCTTTAGCTTTATCTTTTTTGAGTTATAAAATGTATTAGATTACAACTATGTATTATCTATTATTTTAATATTGTATATTATGTCCTCTTATTTCCAATTTTATCTGAACTTTTTTCTCTTAAATTTGCTTGGAATTTTCTTTTAAAGAACCATTTCTTTCTTTTTTTTTTTTTTGAGACAAGAGTTTCGCTCTTGTTGTCCAGGCTGGAGTGCAGTGGCGTGATCTCGGCTCACTACAACCTCTGCCTACCGGGTTCAAGCTATTCTCCTGCCTCAGCCTCCAGAAGAGCTGGGACTACCGGTGCCTGCCACCACGCCCGGCTAATTTTTGTGTTTTTAGTAGAGATGGGGTTTCACCATGTTGGCCCAGATGCTCTCGATCTCCTGACCTTGTGATCCGCCCACCTCGGCCTCCCAAAGTGCTGGGATTACAGGCATGAGCCACTGCACCCGGCCTTAAAGAACTGTTTCTTATTTATTGCTCTTACATGTAATTTCTACACACACCATTATCATTTCTTTGTTTCACTATAAAATAAATTTATTTTGAATATCGTACATCATGTATACACAAAATAATATGTAGTATTTTTGAACAGTTTAAAGAATGATAAGGAAGAAAGGCCCGTGCCTCACCATCCAGCTTGGGTACTGGAGCGCTGCAGCACTTTTGAAGTCCACTGTGCCTCTCTTTGTGTTTTCTTCCTCTTATAACAAAGAGAGCTACTAGCTTGAATTTTATACCAGCATCTCCTGTGCTTCTCTTTGTGGGTTTGCCACAGACGTCTATAGATCTAAGCAATATTTGCTTTGCCGTTGCGTGCTTTAAAACTTAACATGTATGTACTTTACTGTAGAAACCTTTCTACAACTGGCTTTTTTCAGATCCATGTTGAGGCACGTAGCTCTAGGTCATTTCTGAAATTGCACTTTTCCTTCAGTGATATACCTTACTTTATCCAGTCTCCTGCTGCTGGCTGTGTAAGTTATTTCCAGACTTTTTACTATTATGGATAATGCTGACCTGAATATTCTTGTATATGTTTCCTTATATACATGGACCTTGTTTGGGAGTTTCTTTGCGTGTATTCATAGATGTAGAGGTACTGGATTTAAGGTTATATGCTCCTTCAACTTCACTAGATATTCTCAGATTGATCATCAAATTAGTTGTTCCAAATTATACTAACAGTTGATGCAAGTTTCTGTTACTTAAATCCCTGCCCAAATTTGAAACTATCAGAGTTTCTAAAAATTCTGTTAGTCTTATTCCTGAGAAATGGTATCTTGTGGTTTTCATTTATGTTTCCTTCATTACTAGTGAGGTTGAACATCTTGTTTTTTTTTTTTTTTTGAGACGGAGTCTCGTTCTGTCGCCCAGGCGGGAGTGCTGTGGCGCGATCTCGGCTCACTGCAAGCTCCTCCTCCCGGGTTCACGCCATTCTCCTGCCTCAGCCTCCCGAGTAGCTGGGACTACAGGCGCCCGCCACTGCTCCCGGCTAATTTTTTGTATTTTTAGTAGAGACGGGGTTTCACCGTTTTAGCCGGGATGGTCTCGATCTCCTGACCTCGTGATCCGCCCGCCTCGGCCTCCCAAAGTGCTGGGATTACAGGCGTGAGCCACCGCGCCGAGGTTGAACATCTTTTCATATATTTATTGATTATTTACTTTCTACGACTTACACATTCCTATTCTTTGCCCGTTTTTCTATGACAGTTTCTTTTTGTATTCGTTTATAGGAGCTCTGTCTGTATTTAGGAATCTCTACTTTATCAGTTTGTATGAATGTCCGTTATCTTCTCCAGTCTATAGCCTACCGTGTCTCTTTCTTTATGAACAGAAGTTCTTACCTGAGGAAGTAAAATCTATTAGTCTTTGTCTTTATGATCTTTATTCTTAGTGCTTTCGGTGTCCTGTTTAAATCATCTTTCCTATCTTTTGATCCATGAGGGAAGGACTTTGTCTTGTTTGCTCTTGTATCTTGGGCAATACTAGGTCTCAGTATGTATTTGTTGAATAAGTTAATTTCTAATAATATTTACCTTTTTCTTTTTTTTCTGTGTAAATGTTGTCAAAAGTTTGTCTTTTATTAGACTTTTAAATGACTAAACATGTGACTTTGCTGATCCTTTCTATTTTTGTTTATTTTATTAATTTTTGTTCTTCACTGTTTCCTTCAACTTTTTTGGAGTTTATTCTGTTTTTTCCCCCTTTTCTTTATTTTAAGCATTTATTTTTAATTGAAGTAATACAAGCATTTAATGAAACTGTATGAGGTTTGTGGTGAACAATGGTGGCTCTTTCCCCCCACTTCCCCATTTTCCCCTCTCTAGAAGTAGCCACTCCCTCTTCTTTTAGCTGATTATTTGATATATTTGCTTCCATTTCTGCAAGTGACATGTTTGTGTTGCTACCTCTTGACTTTTCAGTTTTAGACATGTATTGAATTCTTTCTATACGAAGTGAGGCTTAAACTCAGCCCCTGCCCCTTCAGTGACTCCTGCTTGTTGGATTTCCATTCGCTGTCCTCTCGGTTGTAGTGTAGCTTTGACTTGGTCAGTAGTCAATGTTTACATTCTTAAACACTAGTCATAACTGAGCTGTGTCGGAAATTATGACCACTTTTGCTTTCCTAAGCAATGTATTCCTAGAATTCATTGGTTCTTAGTTTAGTTTATATTGATCATTAATTTGATCTCATTATTTCTCTCATTGTCTTCATCTTTTCTGGAGCCTTCTGACCTCCATTCTAGAAGGCTTGGCCTTCTGCATCTGGTGCCCAGCTGGCATCCTGAGAATCCCCTTCTATCCTTGGCCGTTCACTACGCTGTTCACTGTGTCTCGTGTCTTCTTTCGTGGTTTGCTCTCTCCTTTTGGTGGCATACATCTCCTTGTAGCTTCCTCAGGAAGAATGCAAGGAAATGCATATTTTCTACCCTAGCCTGTCTGTAGATGTCTTTTTTACTCCCTGACACTTTATGGATCATTCAACTGGATAGAATTCAGCACTGGAAATCATTTTCCTTCAGAAATTTGACATTACTCCATTGTTTTCTGGACCTCAGGCTGCTGTTAAGAAATCCAAAATCACTCTGTTTCTTAATCATTTGTAACCTGTTTTTCCTCTCTGAAAACTTGCAAGATTTTCTCATTTACTCCAGTGATCTTAAATTTCCCAGTGATGTTCCCTACTGTGGTTCTATTTTTATCCACTGAGCATTGGTGAGCCTTTGGCTGAGCATTTAGTGAAACTTTCCGTCTAAAATTCCTGCCCAACCAGGCATGTTGGCTCACACCTGTAATCCCAGCACTTTGGGAGGCCGAGGCAGGTGGATCACTTGAAGTCAGAAGTTCGAGACCAGCCTGGCTGACGTGGCAAAACCCCATCTCTATAAAAATACAAAAATTAGCCGGGTGTGGTGGTGGGAGCCTGTAATCCCAGCTACTCGGAAGACTGAGGCACAAGAATCACTTGAACCCAGGAGGCAGTGGTTGCAGTGAGCTGAGATTGTACCACTGCACTTCAGCCTGGCTGGAGTGCCAGGCTGGACAACAGCTGGGCAACAGAGTGAAACTGTGTCTTAAAAAAATAAAAATAAATAAGTAAAATAAAATTCCTGCCCATTGACTCTAGGACATTTTCTCTATTATTGTTTGATTTCCACCTTCAGTTTTTTTCTTTTTCTCTTTGTGGAATACTTGATACTAATAATGGACACCCTAGATTGGTCTTCTAATTTTCTTATTATCAAAATTCTCATCTTTTATGCACTTTGGTGTATGTGCTTTTTGACAGGTTTCCACAACTTTGTCTTCCAACTCTTCTACTGAGATTTTAAAAATAATTCTTACTCAGCTTCATCAGATTACAATTACATGGAATAAAATTCACCAATTTGAAGTGTAAAATTTGATCAGTTTTGACAAATTTATACAATTTGTAGCCATCACCAAATCAAGGAAGACAACATTTTTCTTATGCCCCAAAGTTCTGTCTTACTCCTTTGCTGTTAATTCCTTCCCCTGCCCACAGGGCCTGGCAGCGACTAACCTACTTGCTGCCACTGCGAGTACCCCTCTCCAGGATTTCATGTGAATGGAGTTGCCCAGTGCGTGCTCTTTCTGTCTGGCTTCTTTACTGGCATGATGTCTTTGACACTCATCCCTGTTGTTTCACATGTCAGCAGTTCCTTGCCATTGCTGAGTAGCCTCCCACTGTATGGATGTACCACGGTTTGCTCATCCATTCATCACCAGTGAGGATTTGAGTTGCTTTCAGTTTTGGGCTAAAGCCACTATGAACATTCTTGTGTAAGTTTTTGTGGATAGTTTACATGTTTTTTTGTGGGCATATGTTCTCATTAGGGTAATTGCCTAGGAGTAGGATTGCTGGTTGTATACTAAGTGTGTGTTTAACTCCGTAATAAACTGTGAAACTATTTTCAAAGCAACCATTCCATTCTGTATTCCCACAGCCATGTATATGGGATCTATCTGGTTGCTTCTTATTGCACTGGTTAGGACCTCCTGCACAAAGTTGAGTAGGAGCTGTAGTGGGGTGGCCTTGCCTTCTTCCCTGTCTTAGTGGGAAAGCATTCAGCCTTTCACCATCAGTATGATGTTAGCAGTAGGCTTTTTGTAGACGCTCTTTATTAGGTTGAGGAAGTTTATGCCCATTTCTGGTTTGATGTGAGAGTTTTATCACAAATAGATACTAAATTTTTGTCAATTGTTTTTCTCAGTCCTTAAGATGATGCTGTGGTTGATAAAATGAATTACATTGGTTTTTAAGGACCAAGTCAAAGTTGTATTACTGGTATAAGCATAACTTAGTCTCAACTTACTATCCTTTTTAAGTATTGCTGAATCAAATTTGTGAACATTTTGTTAAAGAGTTTGCATTGATATTCATGAGTGATATTAGTCTATAGTTTCCTTTCCTTATAACATCTCTGTCTCTGCTCTCAGAGTAATGTTAGTCTCACAAAATGAATTGGGAAATTTCTCCTTCTGTTTTCTGGGAAAATTTGTGTCAAAATGCTGTTATTTCTTTATTAAATATTTGACAGAACTAGTGAAGTCTTCTGGGCCAGGAGCAGAAGACTTGTGGGACAGTTTTAAACTGCAAATTCAGTTTCTGTGGCTTTCTTCTCTTTGGTGGCTTACAGATTGTAGCCATGGCCTTCCCAAACCCTGATCTCTGTGCCCTCAATTTATTGAGACCCCTGGGCTCTGTTTTGCTCCTGTGCCATGACCTGGAGTCTGCCTCCAGGGACTAAACTGGGGCATCTGTAGGTCTTACCTGGCTTGTTTCCCTTCTCTCAGGAACCACTGTCCTCCACCACATTTGTCATTTACCTCAAAACAGTCATTTCCTACTTTTTTCTGGTTTTCTAATTGTTTACAAAAGGAACTCTATTTTGTTTTTGAATCCTCTAATCATTTTTGATTTCCAAGAACTCTTGTTTCTCTGAATATTGCCTTTTTCAAAAATAAGCTCTTATTCCTGTTTTACAGTTAAAATATCTTACATTTAAAGATAATGATTTTCAAAGACATTTTCTTCTCCCATCATTGGGTCCGTTTTCTCTAGTTTTCTGTTTGATGATTTTGGTATTTCTTTCTTGTGAGAAGCTTTCCTCAGTTACAGCTAGTAATCCCTCATTGCCTATCCAGGCAGTGGGAAGACTAACGTCCTTTTTGGACGTTCTGGGTAAGTGGGGCTTCAGTCTTCAACACAGTTCTCCGGCCCCAACACAGTTCTCCCGCCCCAGGCATCTTCCGTCCAGAGCAACTTTGTTTTGCTCTCCTGAAAAGAAAAAAAAAAAAAAAAAAAGCCTCAAGTCTTTTGCCACATTGAGAAAGGGCAAATCCCCCAGTTCCCTTGAGTTGGGAAAAGGATGGGAAGAGGATCTGGGCACCTAAGGTCAGGGTAAACTGACCTTAAACCAGTCTTTATTTTATTTTATTTAATTTATTTATTTATTTATTTATTTATTTATTTATTTATTTATTTATTTTGAGACGGAGTCTCTCTCTGTCACTCAGGCTGGAGTGCAGTGGCACGATCTCGGCTCACTGCAAGCTCTGCCTCCCGGGTTCATACCATTCTCCTGCCTCAGCCTCCCGAGTAGCTGGGAATACAGGCGCCCGCCACCATGCCCGGCTAATTTTTTGTATTTTTTGTTTGTTTGTTTTTTTAGATGGAGTCTCACTCTGTTACCAAGCTGGAGTGCAGTGGTACAATCTCGGCTCACTGCAAGCTCCGCCTCCCGAGTTCAAGCGATTCTCCTGCCTCAGTCTCCCGAGTAGCTGGGACTACAGGCGCCTGCCACCACGCCCGGATAATTTTTGTGTTTTTAGTAGAGACAGGGTTTCACCATGTTGGCCAGGGTGGTCTCGATCTCTTGACCTCGTGATCCGCCCACCTCGGCCTCCCAAAGTGCTGGGATTACAGGCGTGAGCCACCGCGCCCGGCCCAGTCTTTCTTATTTTATTCGTCCTAACTTCCACTTCGAGATAAAATTGATGGGACCAATTCTTGAAACTTTAGGTGATTGAGGAGTGAATTGGTCTAGCGTTTGGTCCCTCCCTGGGTGTGACCTCTTGACAACATTATATAGGAGGCTTGGAACATACTACTTGCATGCCACTTCAAAGCCTACATTAAGGATTTTAAAACCATCTTTTTTATTTTTATTTTTTATTTTATTTTATTTTTTTTGGGGACGAAGTCTTACTCAGTCGCCCAGGCTGGAGTGCAGTGGCACGATCTCGGCTCACTGCAAGCTCCACCTCCTGGGTTTAGGCCATTCTCCTGCCTCAGCCTCCCGAGTAGCTGGGACTACAGTCGCCTGCCACCACGTCCAGCTAATTTTTTGTATTTTTAGTAGAGACGGGGTTTCACCGTGTTAGCCAGGATGGTCTCGATCTCCTGACCTCCAATGTAGGTAGGGGTAGGTCTCCTTAATTTAGCCTACCCTGAAGTGACCTGGGACCCAGTGAGTGTGCCTGAGTTGCTCACACCAGAGTGCTCTTTTGTACTGCAGGCTAAATCAGTGCCAGTAAGACCAGTCTTACTGAACTGGATTAATTCACACCTCAATTAATTTTCAGTGTGGTCAAACCGGGATGCATTTGACTCCCCTCTTGGTAAACTCTATTTGAAGATGAGTGTTATCATGTAATATAAAATATTTAAAAAGTCAAATAATTACCCTCAAAAAATATTTCAAGTCATGTATTCTCTTATACATAGATGATGTGTTTTTAATCACAATCAATAAAAGGTTTTAATAGATGTCAGTATCCAATAGCTGATAGAAAAGAAAGCTAGAAATTGGTGTTTTTATTATTTTTGAAAGCCGTCCCCTAGATTTTTTAAAGCAAACTTTTTTGAAATTTATACAGAAACTGTTTTCTATATACATCTTTATACTAAAAGTACATAGATCATAAATGTCCAACTCAGTGAATTTTTACTGTTTAAATATATCTGTGTAGTCAGCACTCACATCAAGAAATAGAACGTTACCAGCACCCCTTGTAACCACCCAGTCCCCTCGCAGTTTCTTTTGTCGTAAAGGTAACAACTACTCTGGCAATAGATTTGTTTTGCCTGTTTTTAAACTTTAAATCATACAGTATGTACTCTTTTGTGTCTGGCTTCTTGCTTTCAACAGTATGTCTGAGATTCATCCTTGTTGTCACTTGGAACAATAGTTGGTTCATTCTCATTGCTATATAATGTTTCGCCATATAAACCTGTCATTATTTGTACATTTTACTGTTGCTAGACATTTGGTTTATTTCTAGCTTAGAGCTATTACGAATAGTACCATTATGAACATTTCTTCTGCAACTTTTAGAAAACATAGGTACACATTTTCCTTGATTAAATAGCTAGGAGTGCTATGATTATGCATATGCAAACTCTAACAGACAGAGCCAAATAGTTTTCCGAAGTGGTTATACTAATTTATACTCCTACCGGCGAAATGCAAGGTTTCCATATCAACTCTTATACACGTAGTATTATCGTTACAAAAGGTTTTCTACCATTCTAGAGGATGTATGGTTATAACTGAAGTTGATCTTCTTACTTTTAGAATTTCAATACCCTCTTTTTTAAAGTATCTATACATCTTTGCCCCACTTTTATTTTGTTGTCTGATCTTTTGTTATTGGCTTATAGGGCTGTATATTTGAAATGCAGAATCTTGTCATATATATGCAAATATTGTTTCCCACTCTGGATAATGATGTCATCTGATAAATAGAAATTCTGAATTTTGAGATACCTGAATTCATCAGAGGTCTTTTTTTTTTCTTTTTCTGCCTATGGTTAACGCTTGTTGTGTTCTATTTAGGACATCTTAAGCACATGAAGATCTGTGTTTTCCTATAGTAGCTGTAGTATTTTGTCTTAAATACTTGAGTCTACAGTCCATATGGAAGATTGATTGCTCATTATTTTCTATAGGGGTATCCAGTTGACCCAGGATCACTTGCTAGAAAGACTGCCTTTTCCCCCATTGTACTGCACTGTCACCTTTGTCATATATGAGGTGACTGCATGTACGTGGGTCTCATTCCGGGTTCCATAATCTGTTCCATTGGTCTGTTTGCATACAGATTTGTTTCTGGACTCTATTCTCTTTCATTCTTTCTGTCTAATCTTGTGCCAACACAACATTGCTTTAGATTACTCGAGCATTATAATAAGCCTTACACTTGCTGACGTAAATTCTCCAGTTTTGTCCTCTTCTTTTAGAATTTTAGAATTGGCTATTCAATTTTCACAAAATTCCTGCTGGAATTTTGATAAGAATTGGGCTGAAAGTGTAGACTAATGGGGGACAATTGAGAATTTGAGGTCAAATGTGTTTATTGGGTTGTTGAGATCATTTCCTTTTTTTTTTGAGACGGAGTCTCGCTCTGTTGCCCAGGCTGGAGTGCAGTGGCACAATCTCAGCTCACTGCAAGCTCCACCTCCTGGGTTCACGCCATTCTGCTGCCTCATCCTCCTGAGTAGCTGGGACTACAGGCGCCCACCACCACGCCTGGCTAATTTTTTGTATTTTTAGTAGAGACGGGGTTTCACCGTGTTAGCCAGGATGGTCTCGATCTCCTGACCTCGTGATCCACCCGCCTCGGCCTCCCAAAGTGCTGGGATTACAGGCATGAGCCACCGTGCCCGGCCCCTTTTTTTCTTTTCTTTTCTTTTTTTCTTTCTTTTCTTTTCTTTTCTTTTTTTTGTTTTTTGAGACAAGTTCTTGCTCTGTTGCCCAGGCTGGAGTGCAGTGGTGTGATCATTGTTCATGGCAACCTTGAACTCCTGGGCTTATGGCGATCCTCCCACCTCAGCCTCCTGAGTAGCTGGGACTACAGGAACACATCACCATGCCTGGCTGATTTTTAAAATTTTTTGTAGAGACGAGGTTTCACCATATTGCCCAGTCAGGTCTTGGACTCCTAGACTCAAGCGGTCCTCCTGCCTTGGCCTCCCAAAGCACTGGGATTACAAGCATGAGCCACTGTGTCCAGCCCATTCCTTTTCTTTTTTTTTTTTTGAAACGTAGTTTCGCTCTTGTTGCCCAGGCTGGAGTGCAATGGAAAGATCTTGGCTCACTGCAACTTCCACCTCCCCGGTTCAAGCGATTCTCCTGCCTCAGCCTCCGGAGTAGTTGGGATTACAGGCATGTGCCACCACGCCCGGCTAATTTTGTATTTTTAGTAGAGACGGGGTTTCTCCTTGGTCAGGCTGGTCGCAAACTCCGGACCTCAGGTGATCCACCCGCCTTGGCCTCCCAAAGTTCTGGGATTACAGGCATGAGCCACCACACCTGGCCAGCCCATTCCTTTTCTTAATGGTTTGATTTCTGAGTCATTGAGGGTGCCATATGAACATTTTTCACTATGATTATTGATTTATCTATTTTTCCTTTTTATTCTATTTTTACTTTATACATTTTTAAAGTTATGTTGTGTGCATACAAATGAAAATTTGTTGTATGTTCCTGGAGAATTGACCCTTTTGTCTATATAAAATACCTTAAAGTCTGTTTTCTCCAATACTGTGTGATTTGTCTGATATTAGTATGGGTATAGCACCTTTCTTTTGTATGATATATCCTTTTTAATTATTTTATTATTTCAGTGTCTATATTTTTGGTATTTCTTTTCTAAATGATACTCAGTTATGTTTTATTTGTTCATCCAGTCTCACAATCTTTTTTTTTTTTTTTGAGACACAGTCTCACTCTGTCGCCAGGCTGGAGTGCAGTGGCACGATCTCAGCTCACTGCAACCTCTGCCTCCTGGGTTCAAGCGATTCTTCTGACTCAGCCTCCCAAGTAGCTGGGATTACAGGTGCGTGCCACTGCACCCGGCTAATTTTTGTATTTTTAGTAGAGACGGGGTTTCACCACGTTGGCCAGGATGGTCTCAATCTCTTGACCTCGTGATCTGTCCGCCTCAGCCTCCCAAAGTGCTAGGATTACAGGCAAGAGCCACCACACCTGGCCCACAATCTTAGTTTTTAAAAATAACTTAGGTAAGTTACTATGTATGGGATTTTATATCTACTATCCTATTATTTATTTTATATTTCACTTACTTGCTTTAAATTCCTTGTCCTTTTTTCCTTCCTTCTATTGGATTAAATACTTTTATTGTGCCATTTTCACTCTGTATTAGCTTGTTAATTAACCTTCTTTACTTAGTCTTTTATTGTTAATAAATAAAACCAGCTTATTACTGTCCAAAATAAATTTTTACTTTTAATAAAATTAAAATTATTGTTACAATCTTAAAAATTAACAGCATTTTTGGCCAGGTGTGGTGGCTCACGCCTGTAATCCCAGCATTTTGGGAGGCCAAGGCGGGCGGATTGCCTCAGCTCAGGAGTTCGCAACCAGCCTGGGCAACACGGTGAAACCCTGTCTCTAGTAAAACACAAAAAAAAAATTAGCTGGGCATGGCAGCGTGCACCTGTAGTCCCAGCTACTCGGGAGGCTGAGGCAGGAGAATCGCTTGAATCCAGGAGGCAGAGGTTGCAGTGAGCTGAGATCACCACTGCACTCCAGCCTGGGCAACAGAGCGAGACTCTGTCTCAAAAAAAAAAAAAAAATTAACAGCATTTTCTTCCTTCTACCTTTATTTTTGCTATGTATTTTAATTCCACATATATTTGCAATCCATTAAGACATTATAATTATTGTCTCATATAATCAATTGTATTTTTGCTTATCCATATATTTAACTTTTCCATTGCTTTTCATGCCTTCTTACATTTTCATATTTCCACATGGAATTATTTTTCTTCTGCCTGGAACACATCTGTGTTTCTTTTAATGTAGATCTGCTGGTGACACCATCTCTGTTTTTATTTGTATGGAAATATCTACTTCAAGTTTAATTTTTAGAGATATTTTCTCTGTGTGTTGAATTCTAGCTTGACAGTTCGGTTCTTTCACCGCTTCAGATGTTACTTCATTGTCTTCTGGGTTCCATTGTTTTCATTAAGACACTGCCAGTCTTAGTTTTGCTTTTTCAAAGGTAGTGTATCATTTGTTTTTTTCAAGCAACTTTCAAGGTAATCTTCAGTTTTCAGTAGTGCCTAGCTGAGGTGCCTAGGTGAATTTTCTTTGTAGTTATCCTTGGAGTTTATAGCCCTTCTCAGAGTTCATTTTTCAACCTTTTTGTTTTTAAATAATGTTTAGTTTTTTAGCCATGTTTTACTATGGATATTTTCTGCTTATGTATTTTTGTAGCTCACTATTCCTCTTTTCTGCTATATTTGATATCTTGTTAAAGACTATTGAATTCATAATTTTGGTTATTGTATTTCTCAGTTCTAGAATTTCCATTTGATTATTTGGTTCCAATTCTTTGTTGTAATTCTCATTCCTGTTTCCTTGAACATATTAATCACAGTTATTTTAAGGTTCACGTCTGATAACTCTGGTATCTGTGTTCTACGGTTCTTTTTCTATTGTCTGTTTTTCCCTCTTCATTGAATTTCTTAGCACAGCTGGCCTTTTTTATTGTATCCCTGACACTATATGTGAAGGAGAGCAGAGGCTCTAGATGTTGTTCTTCCAGAGAAGATTTAACTTCCCTGGTAGCAGCTAGAGTGCAAGCAAACCATCTTAGTCCAGCCAAGGCCTGTAATAGCTGGAGGTTGGTCACAATATTTGTAAAGCTATGTCAACTGCTCATTTGCCCGTACTACTAGTTTTGTAGCCCTGCAGGAGTCCCGGCTGAGAGCTTCACATGTTATTATGACCTCTCCTTGGAAGGTCCTGGTTCTGTTGTACTAAAAGACTAGAAAATTCTGGATTTCTGCTTAACTTTAATCTTTTGCCCTGTAAAGCTTAAGAATTCAATAAAATGTTTGAGTAACAAGCCACTGAGTATTGGGATCACCTCTCTATATTTTCATTCTCTCCCAAATATTAGACTATAAAGTCTGCCTGGGTGACATCTGATGCCTTCAGACAGATAACTTTTTCCAATTCAGATTTTCTAGTTGTTTTCTGCAGAAATGTTAGTCTGCCACAGTCTACTCTATTTGGGCCAGAAGTGGAAGTCAGTCCTTAACATTTTGACATTTGGCAATACCGATGTTTAACTTTGACCATTCTTTGTTTTGAACAAGGATATATTATTCTGAGCTCAACAGGATTTTAGTCTTGAAATGCGCCTGTTTACCTTTCTTTTCCTAGTAAGTAAAGAGGTTTGTTTCTTTGATTCTAAAATGATACCAGGAGTGCCTTTTTGTAGAAGATTTTCTGCAGCGAGTGGGAAAAGGAGGTAATAAGGATGGCTTGTTCTTGATGGGATTTCTCGTGAATTCTGCATCGTCTGTGTTTGGAATCTAGCCCTTAGTTTTACATTTTAGGCCCTCTCCTGTTTGCCCTGAGAATACTTGCCGGCAGTGCTTGCAGCTGCAGCGTTTATCCTGAGATAACTTTGCCACAAAATATCTCATGGCACATTTCCCTCCCATGGGTGTCACATTATTCATATGGGTTTGGAGACATTGCTTCCTCACAAGCAATAGGAGGTCCTTATTTTTTTAGTAGATATGAGCATTTCACACAGCCTGTACAGCGGCCTAGCTTTTTATTATTCATCTGAATGCTCAAATGAGCCTATATCTTGATTTTAGTATTCACTCTAGAGTCAAGGTTTTTCCTACCAAGTGTCGACTACTATTTTCAGCAGTTTCTTTAGGCCACATCTGGCTGGCTTTAAAAATCATCTCATTTGAATCGACAGGGTACTTTTCTTCTTGTCTGTTAGCATCATGTGGTCTTTATCAGGTTTTTCTTTTTTTTGAGGCTTAGAAAATCAGATAACTTCTCTATTATCACAAAGAAAATATGTGTTGTACTCAATTCTAACCCAGGCCTGTGACTTTTTTTTTTTTTGAGACGGAGTCTCACTCTGTCACCCAGGCTGGAATGCAGTGGCGCGATCTCGGCTCACTGCAAGCTCCGCCTCCCGGGTTCACACCATTCTCCTGCCTCAGCCTCCTGAGTAGCTGGGACTACAGGCTCCCACCACCACGCCCGGCTAATTTTTTGCATTTTTAGTAGAGACGGGGTTTCACCGTGTTAGCCAGGATGGTCTCGATCTCCTGACCTCGTGATCCACCCGCCTTGGCCTCCCAAAGTGCTGGGATTACAGGTGTGAGCCACAACGCCCAGCCACCTGTGACTTCTAAGATCATGCTTCCAAGCTCTCCTGCCTCATACATTATACATGAGATCAACCCCTGCTGTAGTCCTCTGTTCACCCCTCTTTTCTGTCCTTTCTTGTTGTTACTTCAGAAAATCTTCAAACTTGAAATCTTTCTGTTAGCATTATGAAGAGGCTCGTCATCTTGCCCCATCCAAATGTTTTGCTAGGGTAAAACAGACATTTTTATTTTTAATGTCTTTCAGACTGGATGACTATGCCTGCCAGTAAGAAATCTACTGTCAAGGCAGAGATTCCTGAAGAAGAATTGGATCAATGGACAATAAAGGAAAGATTCAGTAGCAGTAGTCACTGGAAGTGTGCTAGCCTGCTGGAGTGGCAATGTGGAGGCCAGGAGATCAGTTTGCAGCGAGTGGTACTCACTCACCCCAACACCCCATCACAGGAATGTGATGAATCCGGGAGCACTATGAGCTCATCTCTTCACAGTGATCAAAGTCAGGGATTTCAACCTAGCAAAAATGCCTTTGAGTGTAGTGAGTGTGGAAAAGTCTTCTCTAAGAGTTCAACTCTTAATAAACATCAGAAAATTCATAATGAAAAAAATGCAAATCAGAAAATTCATATTAAGGAGAAAAGATATGAATGTAGAGAATGTGGGAAAGCCTTTCACCAGAGTACGCACCTTATCCATCACCAAAGAATTCACACTGGCGAGAAACCCTATGAATGTAAGGAATGTGGCAAGGCCTTCTCAGTGAGCTCCTCACTTACGTACCATCAGAAAATTCATACTGGAGAGAAGCCTTTTGAATGCAACTTATGTGGAAAAGCTTTTATCCGAAATATACACCTTGCCCATCATCATAGAATACATACTGGAGAGAAACCTTTTAAATGTAACATTTGTGAAAAAGCCTTTGTGTGCAGGGCACACCTTACCAAACACCAGAATATCCACAGTGGAGAGAAACCCTATAAATGCAATGAATGTGGAAAAGCCTTTAATCAGAGTACAAGTTTCCTTCAGCATCAGAGAATTCACACTGGAGAGAAACCCTTTGAATGTAATGAATGTGGGAAGGCCTTCAGGGTGAACTCTTCCCTTACTGAACATCAGAGAATTCATACTGGAGAGAAACCTTATAAATGTAATGAATGTGGGAAAGCTTTCAGGGATAATTCATCCTTTGCACGACATCGGAAAATTCACACTGGAGAGAAACCTTACAGATGTGGCTTGTGTGAGAAAGCCTTTCGGGACCAATCAGCACTAGCCCAACATCAGAGAATTCATACTGGGGAAAAACCTTATACATGTAACATATGTGAAAAAGCCTTCAGTGACCATTCAGCCCTTACCCAACATAAGAGAATTCATACTAGGGAAAAACCTTACAAATGTAAAATCTGTGAGAAAGCCTTTATCCGAAGCACTCACCTGACTCAACATCAGAGGATTCACACAGGAGAGAAACCCTATAAATGTAATAAATGTGGGAAAGCTTTTAACCAGACTGCAAACCTCATTCAGCATCAGAGACATCATATTGGAGAGAAGTGATATGAATGCAGTTTGTATGGAAGACCTTTGAGACTGAGTAGATGAATTATTGAATGTGAGATAATCCGTTCTAGAGAATAACTATGAAAGCTTGCATCAAGATAGTCACTTTATTTACTGAGGGTCAGGTTTCACAGTGTCATGGGGTTTGGGCATTTAAGAATGGCAAACACTCGGCTGGGCACAGTGGCTCACGTCTGTAATCTTTGGGAGCACTTTGGGAGGCCGAGGTGGGCGGATCACGAGGTCAGGAGATCGAGACCATCCTGGCTAACAGGGTGAAACCCCATCGCTACTAAAAATATAAAAAATTACCCGGGCATGGTGGTGGGCGCCTGTAGTCCCAGCTACTCGGGAGGCTGAGGCAGGAGAATGGCATGAACCCGGGAGGCAGAGGTTGCAGTGAGCCGAGATCGTGCCACTGCACTCCAGCCTGGGCGACAGAGCAAGACTCAGTCTCAAAAAAAAAAAAAAAAAAAAGAATGGCAAACACTCCTCATTCTTTAATACTGCCTCAAATAGCAGTACTGTTTGATTTGTCTGAATTACCAAGCATCAGAACCAAAATGGAGCTTCATTAACAGCATTAAAAAATTGGTTTATCAAATTACATTTTGACTATTAGAGAAACTGAAATTGTAAAAATTAAAGCTGAAAAGCAAAGGAACAAAAAGGTAAAATGGCCTACGAGCGTTGCACTCTACTAGATTCTCTTACATAAGAGAGTTGCCAGCTTTAATGGAAGCCTTAGTCCTCTCCTCACCCACACCACCGACACCCAGTGTAGAGAAAGTACGTCACCCACACTTATTTAAACCATGCTTCCTGCCTTTTGCTTCAAACCATCCATTGTCAGATCTCTCTGGTCTGTCTGCTGGCTTCATCCCTGTAGAATCCCTGTGAGACGATTCATTTGCCCCAAATGACCCTCTTCTGACTTAGCAACGCCTAACTGTCTGCATGGTGCCACCTATCACTGCCCCTATGGGGAGTGTGGTGGTCTGGTCTCAGACACAGTCCATGATGTTGAATATCACACCCAAATCCAGCCTTCAGAACTTGGTATCTCTGTCCAGAAGGCACAACTTGATCAAAATTCTTGAGTTATGCATTTCCTCTGGGCTTCAGCTTGACTGATCCTGGGATGGCACCTGAAGGAGGGGCTTTGCCTGTGCCGCCTTTACCCTCCAATTGTTCTGTACTTAGTGACTCTACACATCAGTCAGGGACTTGCTCAGCTTCAGGTGCAATGATCCCACCCACTTACGTTGTACTATTCCCAGTCACCTCCATCTGTCGCTGCCCATTTCTCTATGTGCAATTGATATAAGAGGTGAAAGCCCCAAGGCCAGTTCTCAGAATGCTCTGACCCACTCTCTTCCCCTGGCTGTACAGTCCACTGTGTCCACTGCATTAGAGTACATTTACTACTCCCAGGATAAACTGCTGCATCCTGGTCCTTCCCCTGCTTTTTCTAGGTTTCTGGAGGTAGTAATTCTATATTCATAGGAAAGCAGACAGCTTTGAATTTCTGCTTTTGCATTTGGAAGTGGTCATTTCCTCTCCTCCATCTGGGCCTTCCACTATTTAAAGACTCATGCTGACAGTGGTGAGAAAAATGTTGAGTAATTCCATGAGTCAAGAAGTGGTCACTAGCACCATTGATATTCTCTGGCAAGGGCCATGTCCGTGTTCAAAAGTTTGAGTGGTACAGTCGTCCTGCAAGTATGGTTCCTTTACCCTGTTTTTTTTTTTTCTTTTTCTTTTTCTTTTTTTTTTTTTTTGAGACAGAGTCTTGCACTGTCGCCCAGGCTGGAGTGCAGTGGTGTGATCTCGGCTCACTGTAACTTCCACCTCCTGGGTTCAAGTGATTCTCCTGCCTCAGCCTCCCGAGTAGCTAGGTCTACAGGCACCCACTACCATGCCCAGCTAATTTTTTGTATTTTTAGTAGAGTTGGGGTTTCACTATGTTGGCCAGGCTGGTCTCAAACTCCTGACCTTGTGATCCGCCCACCTCGGCCTCCCCAGGTGCTGGGATTACAGGCATGAGCCACCGCACCCGGCCACCTTCCCCGTCTTTAATCCTTCAGTGCTTTCAGTAGAAATCACACAGATAAGTAACATCTGTGCATCACACACACACACACACACACACACACACACACACAGCCTCTGAGGGCCCTCTCCCTTTTCCTACCACAAGGAATGGAGGAGCCTTCACTACTGCAAGCTGGAATATATCATGCAGTGAAGATGGGAGGCCAAGCAAATTTTTCTGGAAAGTGAAGTGGCAAGTTCCTGGTATGTGGAAGTGCTGTCCGTCAAGTTGAGCAACCCCCTGACCCCTCAGAATGGAGCACCTCACCCCCATGTTACAGAAGAGGATATTCTATATCATGGTAGAACTCAGTGGGCTCTGGGTTGCAACATAGACTTGGAAGCTTCCAGCAGCTTCAAAGTCCAAGTAATCTAAATTCAGCCTTCATCTAATAAAGGCCACCTTTGTGGGCCAGCATCTCCTGTTAGCTGATCAGCAACTCAGACTTTCTTCCCTATTAAGCTGCATGTGAAGCAGTATTTCAAGAGGTTTCTTGGGATTGCTTGTGTCCCATGTCCTCAGAAGTTCATCTGCAGCTTCACGCAGCTGACACCCTCAGATTCCAGAGTAAACCTGAAAAAACCACGTTCACTGCTACAGATGTCTGTCTTCACCCCATCCATGTAATGTGCCAGGTCTTAACTACCACCCCCTTACCTTGAATCCCTGAGAAGCACGTTTCTAAGCTGAGTTGGTTGGTGGTTTTGTCTATCTGTAATGAACGCATGAGAACTACCACTACTTGGTATGTGCCTACCGTTGAGCCAGGACCAAGGCGTGCAGCCACTTGAGTCTCATTCACCTCAGCCGCGGCTCCAGGAACTAGCGTCAGCGGCATTAAGTGCAGGCTGAAGGCCCCCATCTGAGAAGACAGTGCACTCTCCCTGAGTTCGCCTCTCATCAGGCTTGGGTTTTCATGAAATCAGTCCTCCGAGATGCCTGTTCACTCATCCCTGTCTGGAAAGGCAAAAAGTACGTCACTGGCCTATTAGATACGCCCAGGCTGACTTGAATATATTGATGGTACTAGTACTTGGCCAGGCAGTGGCTTTACTGTATTACACTGTAGGATGACGAGCTCACTGCACGGCCTTCTCGACTAGGGGAGGGGACACTGCCTGAGTCCCAGGCATACTTTTCTCACGTGGATGATACTGCTCTCTACCTGGGCATTCTCACCTGCCCCAGCTCAACCCCTAAAAGTACATTTCTGAGGACCCTGCAGTAAGACTTTTTCAGCCACAGTCTTCTCTACCAGCTGATCTGTGTGGTGTTAGACATTTCAGTACTTACTGAGAGGGAGTTTTCTGTGCCCCACCTTCAGCTGGGTTAATCCCCAAAGAACCAGTGTTTCCTAGAAAGAGCAGTTCATTCCATACCTTGCTCTTGTAGTCCTAATGGCCATGTCGACATACCCAGCTGTGACAAGATGAAGGACCACGATTTGGGACTCTTCAGGGACAGACTTGGCCACCTGGTGATGTGCCACCTTCAGCAGCTCTGTCTTCACACGTCCAGCCTGCGCCTGCTTCATGTAGTACACAAGACTGCTCTGGTACACCACGACCATGACCTTCACATGAGGCCAGTCTCCCCGCCCCTCACCTGGGCCATAGAAAAAGGTAAGAGCCTGAGAAGCAGCTCCTGGCCTCTCCTCCCACCTCGGAGCGTTCCGAGACCCATCACAGTGCCAGCTCCACTCTGCCCAGTTTGAGAAGGGAATTGGCATCTAGACTGATAGGTTCTTCATTTCTATGGGCTTCTGGGAACAGCCACTGAAACTGCCTCCTTGTTACCGAAAAAAAACAGTTGCTTTGGATTTCCCCTTTCAGATTCCTCTGCCCGTCTCCTGCCGGGTGCCCCTCATCTCCAGCTGACTGATTTGTCATCTGGGTTCTTTCTCCCTGCCTGCCTGTTTGCCTGGCTTTGACAGCGCCCTCTCTAAGACGTTACCTTCCTCCATATTCACTAACTGCTTCTAGAACAGCATTTGTCCCTGCAGCAGACTCAGGCTTCCAGGTTACTGTGGCCGAGCCTCAGAGTCTTGGAACAAAATTGCTTTAAACTGAGTGCTTTTGATGGAGAAAACAATTTAATTCAAAATTAATCCAAGAACGCCATAGCCTCCCCTTATCTGATTCCTCTCCTTTCCTTCGCTCTTTGCCCCACCCTCCCCTGTAGCACTGGCTTAGTCGGCAGTACAACATGGAGACGTCAATCTCTCACCCCCATCTGTGTCGCAGTGGGAGGGCTCCCTGCTTCTTGGCCCACCTCAACTCTTGCTAAATATATCTTTGGCAATTTAAATATTTTTGTAACAGTTTGTGAAGGGAAAAGAACGCAAGGCTTGGTTGTTTCTGATCACTCAAGGACCTCTCGGCGGTGCTGATGGTCCTTTGCAGGTGCCAGCACTGGGTGGTACTCACACTCCCTGTGTTCCGTCTGCCACCCTGTGTACCACATGTCACTGTCTTTTTTTTCTTTCTTTCAAGCGATTCTCCTGCCTCAGCCTCCCAAGTAGCTGGGATTACAGGTTCCCACCACCACGCCCGGCTAATTTTTGTATTTTTAGTAGAGACGGGGTTTCACCATGTTGGTCAGGCTGGTCTTGAACTCCTGACCTCGTGATCCACTTGCCTCAGCCGCGTCACTATCCTTAAAAAATTGTTAACAATAATTATTCATCAGTGTGTCTTTCTGAAAATAAAATGAGAAAAGTGCCCAGTTTCTAAGATGTACAAGTTGCATTTTTGTCACCTGGTTATCTAGATGACACTAATGCATGGCCAAAAGCATTCCAAGTGTTTCTCTCTGTAGCCAGCCTGGCCCGAGCCCCCCACAATGACCATCGAAGCCCCACGTGGTCCTGGAAAGCAGCGTGTTCATGCTGTGGAATGTAAAGAGCTGTTTCCCATCACCGGGGCCAGCAGTTCACATGTGAGGCCACGCCTGGCACCAGATGCTGTTGTAAGAACTTTGCGTATATTCATTCATTTAATCCTCACAATTGCATGAAACCGTTACGTCCATCCTGTTTTGTATTGTTATGAGGTAGTCAGTGAGATTGAGCCAAAAGAGGCAGAGGAGAGGCTCGGGATAACAAATGTACTCAATATTCCTAGAGACAGGAGGCAGGGCAGGCCACACAGGGCCATGTGGGCGAGGCACCTGAGTGTTCAGGAGGCAGAAGACAGGAGTCGGCGGGGAGTAGGGGGAAGCATGAAGCCAGGGCCTTCTTTGGGTGTCTGAGGGAAAGGCAAGGCAGGGTGGGTGAATTGTTTAGACTGGCTAGTTTGTGTCATTTCAGTAAGCTCTAAGCTATAAGGATGGGGGTGTCCCTAGGTGCCTGGTGCTCGGCCCTGGGGTGATGAAGGCAGAGGAATGTTGCTTCTGGGGTGTGTGGGCCTGAGAGAGGAGGCCTGGCTCTGGCTGGTTACTACATATCGAAGACGTGCCCAGCTCAGTGTTTGCTGTCTCTTAAGAACTGGCCAGCCCCGGCTGGGCGCGGTGGCCATGCCTGTAATCCCAGCACTTTGGGAGGCAGAGACGGGCAGATCACGAGGTCAGGAGATTGAGACCATCCTGACTAACACAGTGAAACCCCATCTCTACTAAAAAAAAAAAAATACAAAAAATTAGCCGGGTGTGGTGGCGGGCGCATGTAGTCCCAGCTACTTGGGAGGCTGAGGCAGGAGAATGGTGTGAACCCGGGAGGTGGAGCTTGCAGTGAGCTGAGGTGGCGCCACTGCACTCCAGGCTGGGCAGCGAGACTCCATCTGAAAAAAAAAAAAGAAGAAGAACTGGCCAGCCCCAGGAAGGGCGGCTCTGTCTGTCCCCAGCCAAAAGGTTTGTTTTTTGTTTGTTTGTTTGTTTGTTTTTTGAGATGGAGTCTCACTCTGTCACCCAGTCTGGAGCACAATGGTGCAATCTCGGCTCCCTGTAAACTCAGCCTCCTGGGTTCAAGTGATTCTCCTGCTTCAGCCTCCCTAGTAGTTGGGATTACAGGCATGCACCACCACACCTGGCTAATTTTTTGTATTTTTGTAGAGATGGGGTTTCACCATATTGTCCAGGCTGGTCTCGAACTCCTGATGTTGAGTGATCTGCCCACCTTGGCCTCCCAAAGTGCTGGGATTACAGGTGTGAGCCACCGCACCTGGCTAAAATATAATATACAGAAAAATTTTAAATATATACACAATATATTTCACAACTATTTTATGACTATACAACATTTTACAATCTATTTTACAACTGTGTTGGTATAAAGACAAAATCTTTGACCCTAAAAGGTCATTTTTCTTTCCAATTTGGGGAGAACTTAAAACATTTCCATGAGCCCCTAGAAGCATTCTGGGCCCCAGGCACTGTCCCTACTGCACCTAATGGACAAGTCGGTGCTGCCTGGCATTGGTGGGTGGGGAGGGCTGGGGCCACGTGCTCACCTGGAGCCTAAGGAGGTGAGGTTCACCCATACCACATGATCCAAGAGTAGAAGTGAGGGGTCCACAAGAAAAACCCAGGGTCTTTCTCCAAAGAAGAGAGGGTGTGGTAAGGTCCCACGCAGGCAAACCACAGATGACCCCAGGCCCGACGCAGCTGAGGCTGAGGCTGCGGCCTTTGGTGGCTCACCCCCTTCTCAGATCCACACTTTCTGGGCCAGGCCTGAGGCTGAGCCACGTGGGGGTGAGAGAACCAGGAGCAGGGGGAAGATGTGGGGGAAGGGCAGGCGGAGTGCTGACCCCGAGGACCTGTTTCACTGGAAAGGCAGCAGTTTTTACCTATCTTATCGCCAACTCGGATGAATTCTTGTACCAGCTGCATAACTATACTCCCAAGATCCAGTTTCTCTCTAACTTCAGGCATCCACGTTTTCCTGCCATAGACTCTTGTAACAAACCTCTTTCCTAATAGTAAATAGGTAAAAAAAAAAAAAAACCCAGAGGCCTTTCTGATCGTGGTGGCTGACAGCAGATCCGGCTGCAGTTCCTCTCCTTTCCCTCCCTACCTCCCTCCCTCCTTCCTTCCTTCCTTCCTTTTGCTGTCTCTCTCTGTCTCTGTCCCTCTCTCTCTCTCTCCCCCACACCTCCCCTTCCCTCCTCTCCCCTCCCATTCCTTTCCTTTCTTCTGTCAGCTGAAGCAGCAAGACCACACAGGCCCATTAGTTCATGCAGGGGACCTTGGCAGGACTTGAAATGGAAGAAGCTATTGTCTGGTTTTGGGCTTTGTATTTCAAATTTCCAAGCTGCAGATAATTGCTATAATAATGTACATTTTACCAGAGCATTAAAAAATGGAAAAGTTTCCAATTATTTTTCTTTCTTTCTCAATTAATTTTCCTTGCAGTGAAGAAGAAATTCCAAAGTTGGAAAAAGTATTTAACCACCTGAAGTTCAATTGCTAATTCACCTCAGTAATACACCTAGTGGCAAATCTTTTATCCTCCAGTTTTTAGTGTCTTTACTGATTAAAAAAAATAGAGGTTGACTGGGCCGGGCGCAGTGGCTCACGCCTGTAATCCCAGCACTTTGGGAGGCCGAAGCGGGCGGATCACAAGGTCAGGAGATTGAGACCATCCTGGCTAACACGGTGAAACCCCGTCTCTACTAAAAAATACAAAAAATTAGCCGGTGTGGTGGCGGGCGCCTGTAGTCCCAGCTACTCGGGAGGCTGAGGCAGGAGAATGGCCTGAACCCAGGAGGCGGAGCTTGCAGTGAGCCGAGATCGCGCCACTGCACTCCAGCCTGGGCGACAGAGCAAGACTTCATCTCAAAAAAAAAAAAAAAAAAGGTCGACTGAAGAATTTAAAAAATTCTATCCATTTATATTACTTCTGCCATTCTTTATATATCAGTGTGTACATAGGCAGAGAATGAAACCTGGAGGCTTTTGTCACCAGGGTCATAGTTTAAACTTATGAAGTAGACAGTGGGGTTGGGCTGGGATGGTGCGGTGAAGATGATGTCATGACTAAACAGATTTATTAGGAAAGAGGTTTGTTACAAGAGTCTATGGCAGGAAAACGTGGATGCCTGAAGTTAGAGAGAAACTGGATCTTGGGAGTATAGTTATGCAGCTGGTACAAGAATTCATCCGAGTTGGCGATAAGATAGGTAAAGGATGCATCAATGGTTATTCCTTGAGAAGCAGGTCATGGTTGGTCCTTCTTGTCTTTTAGGTTTTCTTTAGTCATGAACTTGTGTTAGCCTTTCTAGTGGTTGTTGTGGTTGTTGTGGTTGTGGTTGTTGTTGTTGTTGTTGTTGTTGGAGATGGAGTCTCGCTGTGTCGCCAGGCTGGAGTGCACTGGCGCGATCTTGGCTCACTGCAGTCTCCGCCTCTGGGGTTCAAGCGATTCTCCTGCCTCAGCCTGCTGAGTAGCTGAGACTACAGGCGCCCGCCACCATGCCCGGCTAATTTTTTGTATATTTAGTAGAGACGGGGTTTCACCGTGTTAGCCAGGATGGTCTCGATCTCCTGACCTCGTGATCCACCTAGCTTGGCCTCTGAAAGTACCGGGATTAGAGGCGTGAGCCACCGCGCCCGGCCTCTAATGGTTTCTGTACTTACCATTACTGCATGAGAGAGAGGTTCATTGAGCACTCGTTATGAGCCAGGCACTGTGCATTGTTCCTACATTATGCCATGAAATTTCTATAAAAACCTTCAGGTTTGTAGGGATGGATGATTACCTATCAGCTAGATATGAGTATCATACTTACTTGACAGACAAGGAGTCTTTGACTTAAGTAGCTTGTCCAAGATCACAACATGAGAGTTAAGAGAAGGGTTTTAAATGTGAAGCTTTGTGATAGAACCCAAACCCTTACCCAATAAGCTGGACCACCACGGATCTCAGGAATTGGTCACTCTGGCTGCCAAATTTCTGCTCACCTCTTCTCTCTCTTCCTTTTTATTCTTTTCCCAAAATATAACGACACATCAAAAGATGTTTCTGGCCGGGGGCAGTGCGTCATACCTGTAATCCCAGCACTTTGGGAGGCCATGGCAGGCCGATCACCTGAAGTCAGGAGTTCAAGACCAGCCTGGCCAACATGGCAAAACTCCGTCTCTACTAAAAATACAAAAATTAGCCGGGCTACTCAGGAGACTGAGGCAGGAGAATCACTTGAACCCGGGAGGTGGAGGCTGCAGTGAGCTCAGATCACGCCACTGCACTCCAGCCTGGGGTATAGAGTGAGACTCTGTCTCAAAAACAAAAAAAAGATGTTTCTAAGTATGCCAGTGGTGCACGTTTGAGAGCAGTATTACTCCAGTGAATGAATGTGACCACTACAACTGCTCTGCATGTGAAACACTTTTTGAAAACACGTGCACAGAAGATGTTTCAAGAGTGCAGCTTGGTGCATGATTAAGATGTGTTGTTTCAATGAATAAAGGTGTCCACTACACTATTCTGCATGTAATATACTCTGAAAAGACATGTGTACAAAAGATGTTGCTAAAACATTCTCAACACAGTAGCCAGAGTGGTCCTTTTGTTCATCAGACCATCTAACTGTTATTAAAACCCTCCAGTGTCTCCTCTTCTCACCCCGAGTAAATTAAAGTCCTTGATTTTAGTGGCCTTGGCCTACAGGGCCACACATGGTATACATACCCCAGTGCCTCAGGTGACGGTTAGCTTGATGTGTCACCTGGCCAGGCTATGGTACTCAGTTACTTAATCAAACACTGATCTAGATGTTGCTGTGAAGGTGTGTTTTGTAGATGTGGGTAACCTCTACAATCAGCTGACTTTAGGTAAAGGAGATTTACCCCCAATCATCTGGGTGGGCCTCTTCCAATCAGTTGAAGGCCTTCGGAGCAAAACTCTCTCTCTATATCTTTATCTAATCTATATCTACATCTAATCTGTTGATCCTTTGGGCTCTGTTCTCTGGAGAGCCCTGACTGCTCCACTCTGCTGCCTTCCTCACATTTTCTCCCCTGCTCACCCTACTCCTCCATGCCACTCTCTTTGCTTGGTCCCCAAAACACCAGGCCGACCCCTGCCCTTGGGCCTTGCACTTGCCACTCCGCCTGCAGGACCCCATCCCCCAGATATCCCCATGGCTCACTCCCCACCTCCTTCAGATGAAGCCTGTACTGGATTGCCCTATTCAAAATTGCAGCCATCCCCCGCCAGCTGCCCCATTCTCTGTACCCTGCTCTGCTGTTTTCTTTTGTCCACAGCACATCACCCTTTAACATACAGTGTCATTTATTGGTTAGTTTTGTATGTTGTTTATTGTGTGTCTCCACCACTAGGGTGCAAGTCCTATGAGGGAAGCAGTTCCTGTCTATTTTGTCTGCTGATGTATCCCAGGTGCTTAGCACAGAGTAAGCACCCAAGGGTACCTGTGGGACCAAAATGAATAAGCAGTCTGTGGGGGGCAGTGAGGAGGGGCTAGCTGGGAGTGAGATGGGGTCCTGGGACTGCTCAGCTGTGGGGCTGGGTTAATGAGTGGGGTCTGTGTGGGCAGTGATTGGTAGGACTGGGAGGATCAATGGTAGGCTAATGGGGCCAGCAATTTGGGCACCTCTGCAGGGTGCATTAAGGAGACTCTGGCTTTTAGTGACTGTGGGAGGAATGAGTATCTTGCCCAAGGTCACTCATCTAGCAGAGCTGGAGTTGACCTCAAGAAGACTTAACCATGACACAGTGCAAGGTCAAGCTGTGAAAGCTGACTTAAAGAAGTACACAGGGCATGGGCAAGACAAGGTCTGTGTGCCCTGGAAGTTTTACCTGTCTTACCTGTCTGCAGACCAGAATGGGAAAAATAACTCAGATGTTGATACTACAGGTATATTCAGTATTTGAGAGCTCTGATCAGACCCAATCTGGCAGATTGTATCAGTGCACAGTGCCTGGGGCCGTGTTCCCCTAGACTAATGTGCCCTCTCTGCTGTTTCTGTTAGGAGAGTCTGCAGGTAAATTTGAGAATAAACCACAGCCAGATGGAGGTGACAGGAGATGGCTGGGACCCTAGCAATGGGACACAGCACCACGGTGCCATGGAACGGTGATTTTTATAATACTATGTAGGATGAATAAGAGGGAAAAGATACAAGAAGCAGAAAGACTAGTTAGTATTCTGACAGAATAATTGCTATAGGTTGAATATTCATGTTGCTCCAAAATGCATATGGTGAGATCCTAACCCCCATTGTATGGTATTTGGAGCTGGGGCCTTTGGGAGGTTATGAAAGTAGAGCCCTCGGGAATGGGATTAGAGCCCTTATAAAAGAGACCCCAGGGTGCCCTCACACTTCCCACCATATGAGGACACAGCAAGGGAGTGCTGTTTAAGAACAAGCAGGCAGCCCTCACCAAATCCACTGGTGTCTTGCTCTTGGACTTTCCAGCCTCCAGAACTATGAGAAATGTCTGTTTTTTAGAAGCCACTGAGTCTATGGTACTCTTTTATAGCAGCCTGAATAGAGTAAAACAGTAATCCACAAATGAAGTGATGAGGCTTAAAATTTTCAAATTCAGTCTTCTTTTTTTTTTTTTTGGAGACAGAGTTTTTCTTTGTTGCCCAGGCTGGAGTGCAATGGCACGATCTCAACTCACAGAAACCTCCGCCTCCCGGGTTCAAGCGATTCTCCAGCCTCAGCCCCCCGAGTAACTGGGATTGCAGACATGTGCCACCATGCCCAGCTAATTTTGTGTTTTTAGTAGAGATGGTGTTTTGCCGAGATGGTGTTTCGCCATGTTGGCCAGGCTGGTCTTGAACTCCTGGCCTCAAGTGATCCACTCACCTCAGCCTCCCAAAGTGCCAAGATTACAGGCATGAGCCACTGCACTCAGCCAGATCCAGTCCTTTTACTAATTTACTTCTCTACACCCTTGCGTGCCTTTTAGAATTCTATCCAACTGGTCAGTTTCTTCTTATCAGAGCCTTATTCCTTCTTGGTTCCTATCCCTTACATTTCTTCAGCCTTTTCTCCACAGGGTGGAATGTCATTTTTGAAACCCCCCAAGCTACTTGTAATAAGCATCAGTATTCCACTCTGGCTGTCCATACTACAGCAGTTTTTCCCCTGTCAAAGCCCAAGAGATAGAAAATATTTAGTTTGGAATTTTTCACGTTTAGAAACAAAGGTATCAATATAACAAAGAGTATTTGTGAAGCAGTTTCATTCTATAAAATGATGAGAAGATTCACTTGGAATTGTGCATTTTATTCCATTTTTGAAGAAGTTTTATGAAACAATATCTGTATAAAGAAGCAACCGAAGACCTAAGTCAAACTTTTGGGAAAAGTTAAATTTATTGAACAGGAAGTAACTGAATAAAGTCAGTTACCTGGACTCTTTACAGTAAGCAATGAATGTAATAAATTAAAGGGAAATTTCTAAAGAGCAAAAAGGATAAGAAATGGGACAAAGCTATAATAAATGTGTCAGAAGATTCACACAAGTGAGACAGCCTAAGAAAATGGTTACTATACAGAAGCTCTTCTGTAGAAGTCTCAACACAGTGGACCACAGGTGAGACCTTATAAATAGGTGGTTAAAGCTTACATCAGAACGTAATCTTACTCTGCTTTAGAGCTCTCATCCCAGAGAGGAACACTGCAATTTTAATTGTGTAAACATGGAATAAGCCTCCAACCCAGAACTCCATTTTCACTGGAACATATAATTCATACAAATAATTCAAGGGCAACAAATGGGACAAAACCTTCGGTGCAGGTCAGCTCTCACTCGACATAAGAGAAACCACACTGGAAGAATGCCTTATAAATTCCACACATAGAAGAAAACCCACAAAACTTTATTCAGGGGTCCAAATAAATTGGACCTCAAAGAATTCAAACCCATGCATGCAAAAAAACAGGAAAATCTTTAGGGAGCTGTCAACCTCCACTGAACACCACAGAAATGATCAAAGAGGCTAGGTGCGATGGCTCACGTTTGTAATCCGAACACTTTGGGAGGTGGAGGCAGGAGGATCGCTCGAGCTCAGAAGTTCGAGACCAGCCTGGGCAACATAGTGAGACCTCGTCTCTACAAAAAATAAAACATTAGCTGGGTATGGTCGTGCGCACCAGCTACTCAGGAGGCTGAAGCGGGAGGATTGCTTGAGCCCAGGTCGAAACTTCAGTGAGCTATGATCGTGCCACTGCACTCCAGCCTAAGAAATTGAGCAAGACCCTATCTCGAAAAAATAAAATAATAACATAAAGAAATGATCACAGGCAGAAACTGTATGCACACACCGAGTGTGGAAAAGCCCTCTTGTGGAAGTCAGTTATTTGTGTACATCAGAAAATTCTGGAAGGAGAGAAACCTTGTGAAGGTACTAAATATGACAACATCTTCAGTAACAGAGGATGTCCCCCTGTACCCAGAATGGTGCATGCTGTGGAGATACCCTGCAAGTAGACCGAATGTGAGAAAGCCACAGGAGTACATGGGCCTCGCGGTGCATCAGAGTTCCTGCCAGAGAGGCCCACAGGCATGAACATGGCAGAGTGTGAAAGTCGTCTGCGGGAAGCCAGGACTCTATGCCAGAAACTTCACACTGGGGAGAAATCCTCAGTGCAATCAGTGTAGAAATGCCTCTACTAAGAACTGCTTCTGATTCTGAATCACAGAGTTCACAGTGGAGAAAACCACATGAATGTAAAACTGTGGAAAAGTTTTCAGCTAGAAGCCAGAGCGCACTGCACACCAAAGAATTCACACTGGGAGAGACATGAGAAAACAGCAAATGCAGGAAAACTTTCCCTTGGAGATCAGAGCTCACTGATCTCAGAGTTCATACAGGAGAAGAGCCCTATACAATCACGAGGGTGGAACCGCCTTTGGCAAGAAAACACGCCCCATTACCCATGAGAGAGCTGCACAGGAGAGAAACCCTATGGAATAAATAATTCTGGAAAGCATTCAGCAACAAATGAAACGTCCTAATGTGCACTATAGAGAAGCCCTAGGAACACAACAAATGTGGAGAAGGAGAGTCAGTAGCGCAACAGAAATGTTTCTCAGAGGAGAAGCTTTTAAGTTAATTACTTAAAACCTGCAGAAGCACCTAGTCCCACGGTCAAAACCAACTGCGCACCAGAGAAGCTGCATGGGAAAGTTTGTATGTTGGATAAAGTGTGGTTCACCCTCAAAACTAGCTCCAGACATCACAGACTAGAGAATGTATACTGATCTTAAACAGTGGTCAATTTAACAAATGTAAATTCTACTCCCAGGGACATAAAACTCCATAACTTAAACCAAGCTTTTTGTAAAAACTATCAGTGAAAAACAAATGTGCGTGCATCTGCAGCCCAAGCCTCTTCCTCCCCAGGCCTGGCGCTCAGCTTGCAAATGGACTTCCCAGTACCTATGAGGAATGAAGGGTTTCCATACCCGTCCTGAGCCATCCACTTGGGATTCACCCTCACCACGGCCATGACTCTCTGTCACTGCTCCCAACCTGGAGCTCCTAAACCCATCCCCAACCCGAACACAACACAAATGCACCCCTGCTCCTTGTTCTCACATCACTAACATTACACACGTGTATCTGAATTTCTTCAGGTTTGGGGGTTTTTTTGGTGTTTTTTTGTTTTGTTTTTTTGAGACAGAGTCTCGCTCTGTCACCCAGGCTGGAGTACAGTGGCACAATCACAGCTCACTGCAACCTCCACCTCCCAGGTTCAAGCGATTCTCCTGCCTCAGCCTCCCAAGTAACTGGGATTACAGGCACCCACCATCACACCTGGCTAATTTTTGTATTTTTAGTAGAGACAGGGTTTCACCACATTGGCCAGGCTGGTCTCGAACTCCGGACCTCAGGTGATCCACCTGCCTCGGCCTCCCAAAGTGCTGGGATTACAGGTGTGAGCCACCATGCCTGGCCAAGGTTGGGGTGATTTAAGGGAGTACACAGAGGGGAGGAAAACAGCTGTACTCTAAGTCTGACCTTGCCCAATCCCGGGGGGATGGGGGAAAGCCCATGGCATTGGGAATCTCATGGGGGCGCACCCCAGTTCCTCAGCTCACTCCCGCGCCCACTGCAGGCCCTTCCCATGCTCACAGGGGTCTCACCCAGGGTCTCTCCCTCCGTGCCAGAGGAATCCTACCCAGGCCTGAGTGCCTCCATCCAGATGCACAGCCCCAGGTCTCCTCTTGCTGAGACAGCTCCTCCTCCACTCCAACCCCATGTTTCATTCTGGGGTCTACACGTTCTTCCACACTGCCCAATCCCCAGGTTATGGGGGTTGACTGAGGGGAGGAAATCTCCCGCAAACCAGGCAAAGCCCAGGGCTTCATCATCCTCTTTGGACTTCGGATGAGAGAATAAGTTTAGTCCCTTTCTAGAGCTAGAACCTTCTCGGTGGCTGTTTCCCACCATGGGAAGCGAGTCTGGTCTGTGGTGAGGAAGCATGAAGCTCACATGCTGGAATCGGGGTAGAGCTGGGTCCAGTTCCTTCTCAAGGCCAGCCCCACCGACGCGGAGCATGGTCTTGGCAAACTCCCTGCCACTGACTGTTCACCGTGGACCCGGGCTCTATACAGCTTCCACCTCGAGGCAAGAGGAAGAAAGGAGAGGCAGCAAGCAGTCCCGTTCCCACCTGCCCTGCTACTTGTGGGCCTCTGCATCCTCGCCCTTGGGTGGGGCTGCCACCGTGGAGGTGGCCTTGAGGCTCCGCTTTCGCTTCTGCACATTCTGCTCTGGATGGAAGAGGATGACGTAGGTTTTGGGTACGTAGAGCATGCCGAGGGACACCGAGGCACTCAGGCTCAAGGACACGGTTAGCGTGGTTGTCTGGATGTAGATCTAGGCCATGGAAGAGGGGACCAGATGGGACTCAGCCCTGCTCTCCCTGCCCCGCTCCACACAGTCCTCACCACATACTCTGGAGCTGAGTCTGTTTCAGTTGGGGAACTGGGAATGAGCACTTAGACCAGGACAACAGTATGAGCAGGGGCCCCGCGCCTGAGGGGCTGGCAGCCTCCATGCAGCTCTGGTGTGGGCAGGAGGGAGGGGTGAGGAGGGGTTATTAACAGAGAGACACCTGGGGAAGCGGGAGCCGGGGCATGTCAGTGAATGAGCACGTTTCAAATACATACAAATGAATAAATGGGCAGAGACAAACTTCAGGAGCAGATGGGCAAATAAATGGATGACAGGTGCATAAAATATTCTGCCGCATACGTGAATAAATGATGCAGCAATGGGCTGACGCATTAATGGGTTGGCAGTTATAAAGCACATGAAGCCTGGGCGCAGTGGCTCACGCCTGTCATCCCAGCACTTTGGGAGGCCGAGGCAGATGGGTCACTTGAGGTCAAGAATTTGAGACCAGTCTGACTAATATGGTGAAACCCCATCTCTACTAAAATTACAAAAATTGCCCAGGCGTGGTGGCAGGCACCTGTAGTCCCAGCTACGGGGGAGGCTGAGGCTGGAGAATCACTTGACCCAGGAGGCGGAGCTTGCAGTGAGCCAAGATCACGCCACTGCACTCCAGCCTGGGCAACAGAGTGAGACTCTGTCTCAAAAAAAAAAAAAAAAAAAAAAAAAAAAGCATATGAAGAACTTGAATTAAAAAAAACAAGCTAACTGTAACTGGGTGACAGAGTGAGGCAATATCTCTCAAAGAAATGAAAATGATAAAAAAAAAAAAGAAAAAAAGAAGAGTGGAAGTTAAGAAGAGGGGTTAGAAGCTTGGAAAAGTGAATGAATGAACAAAGTAAGAAGGGAATGAGTGAATGAACAAGCAGCCAGATACGGGATAAACAAAAGCACGAACAAGCATTTAATCTCATGAATGAATCGACCAGCCTGACAGGCAGGAAACAGGCAGCGAGACCTCCTGGGGACCTCATTACCTTTTCAGCTGACTGGGCAGTGCCAAAGAAGATGGGCACGAATGCCAGCCAGATGATGCAGGTGGTGTACATGGTGAAGCCGATGGGCTTGGCCTCGTTGAAGGTCTCGGGCACGCCACGGGCCTTGATGGCGTACACTGTGCACGTGACCATGAGCAGGAGGCTGTAGCCCAGGCAGCCGATGAGAGACAGATCCGACATGTCGCACTTGAGCACCCCTCTGGCCTGCTCGGGGTCCACCGTCCGCTGTTCCTCATAGTCAATCACGCTGTGTGGGGGCCGGGCCCCCAGCCATGCTATCATCCCCACCACCTGCAGGAGCCAACACTGCATCAGACACAGCACTTTCCAGGGACAAATCCATTCCAGCCCTGACAGAGGCCCCTGCGGGTCAGGATCCCCTTGAGGCTCTGGCCTATGGAGGGGATGCTCCACCTCTTCGTGGTGGCTCTCAGGAGCACTCAGTGGAGAAGAGGGGATGGCAGCCCAGGCAGGGGCAGCCCAAGAGGGGTCCGTCCAAAGGCCCGTGACCTGGCAGCTGCGGAGAAGGGCTGTGCCGCCCGTATATGTTGGCAACATCAGTGCAGTGTGCATAAGGGGCAGCTTGGTGTCCTCTTCCTGCATTCTAGCCATTACCAATGCCATTTACTGCGCCCCTTCAAGGTAGATGGATGTGGCCGGAAGCTCTGGAACTGAGGCCCTACTCGCATCGCCTCTCTAGCCTCCTCACGTGTACTGAGCTTCAAAATCAGGGCACGCCACAGGCAAGAGAAACAAAGGAGCACTCAGTGGGGAGGAGCAGGAATGGGAGCTGATGCCGAGGAGTACTGGAGTCTGTGCAGGCCCTCACAGGGAGGAGATGGAGTTACCACTCCCTCACATGACAGGAAGCACAACCTCAAGCCAAGGAAAGCTGGGGAACAGGAACGAAGCCACCTGCATAAAGGCGGGACCCTGGAAGGGCTGCCCCACACGTTCGTGCTGGTTGTTCACTGTACGAGAGCGCCTGATTGGGGGCAGGGGTGGAGCTGGAATCCAGCCTGCATGCCAGTGCCATGCCGAGCACCTGGAGCAGGGCCATGTGATCCTGCTGGAAGGGATGCTTTGCAGTCATCTGCCCACCCAGAAGCAGCAGCTTTTTGTGCTTCTCCCAAAGGCAGCAGACCCCTGAACAAAGGACCTTCCAAATAAGTGGATCACGAGGTCAGGAGATCGAGACCAACTTCCAAAATAAGTTTGGAAGTTCCTACTAGAACAAGGCTCCAGGTGGAAAAAAAAAAAGTTGCTCATGAGAAACAAAAATGCAAGCCCAGGGCTGCACAGCGGTAACCACCAAAACGGCCCACAGATGCCGCAGCCCGTGGAGTGGGGAGCGAGCGAGCACGCCTCACTCGGAACGGACTCCTGCAAAATAACAGCAAATGAGCAAAGGACAGGAACAGGCTGAGCCCAGGAGAGGAAAGCCCCATGGCCGGCGCACTGGTGCTAAGTGCAGGCGAATTGAAGCCACAGTGAGATGCCATTTTGCAGCCCGTCATGACGTGGTAGTCATGGCAAAACACCTAGGCCAGTTGCAGGCTTGTGTGTTTTTAAAGATCCCTTGTATCTGGAAAAGAGGGTACAGTGTGGGGCGGGCAGTGGCTGAGGCTGGGGAGGAGAGCTGGGGGTCCCCAACGGGGTCTAAGCATCTCCACCTGAGGGTGGGGGAGCAGGAGCACCTCAGGCCGGGACGTAGAGGGCACCTTCTCAGGATGTGCGGCACACGGAGACCCTGGGCCTGACCAGGGGACACTCAGGCCCTGTTACGTGGAGGAAGACGGGAGCACCTCCTAGTCACGGAGAACTGCATGACCCGAGGCACGTGGCGTGTGTGGAACGAATAGAGAAGGGGCTCGCCGGGAGTGGACAGCACCGGGAGTGCTCCAAACGGGTGAGCAGGTGTTCGCACTGAGGCCACCCTCCACCTGGCCCTGAGAACCCAGCTGGCCCTGCAGTGTCACACCAGGTCACCCTCCCCAAGCCATCTGTCTCTCGTACTCTTCACACAGAAAACATCCAGGGCGCCCCAGACTCCAAGAGTTGTCTCCAAGGCTGTAATAACTTTACTGTCTTAGGAAAATCCCCCAAAGGAGCTCCATTATTTAACGGCCAGCACGAAACGCTGGCCACTGGATGGAATTCGATGCTCTTCCACAGTAAAATGTTGGACCCTGTGCCTCTCATCCACACTGCCCCAGGGAGCAGGGCAGCAGAGACTCCCTTGTGGAAACAGGAAAACCGGTCAGATAGCTCTTTGACCTGTTTCCATATGTGAGCCAAATTGTAGAAGAGCATTTTGGTTTAGAAAATAACTTCACTGTTGTACAGAAAGATCTCTGGAGGCCCACACTCCCCACCTGACTGCCCCGTTTTCCTTCAAGGACCCAGCAGGGGAGATGGCGGCCCTAACTGAGCTGCTGTCACAGGAGGGGAGGGGCTCCATTTCCTGTGGCCTTAAAAAAAAAAAAAAACTCACTGGGCGCAGCGGCTCCCGCCTGTCATCCCAGCACTTTGGGAGGCCGAGGTGGGCGGATCACGAGGTCAGGAGATCGAGACCATCCTGGCTAACACGGTGAAGCCCTGTCTCTACTAAAAATACAAAAAATTAGCCGGGCGTGGTGGCGGGCGCCTGTAGTCCCAGCTACTCGGGAGGCTGAGGCAGGAGAATGGCGTGAACCCGGAAGGCAGAGCTTGCAGGGAGCTGAGATAGTGCCACTGCACTCCAGCCTGGGCGACACAGCGAGACTCTGTCTAAAAAAAAAAAAACAAAACAACACAGGAACCAAAATAGAAAAGAGTGACTCTAAAAACGGCATTTATCTTTTTGTTTTGAGACAGGGTCTTACTCTGACACCCAAGCTGGATTGTAGTGGTGCGATCTTGGCTCACAGCAACCTTCAACTCTTGGGCTCAAGCGATCCTCCTATTTCAGCCTCCCAAGTAGCTAGGACTACAGGCACGCACCACCATGCCTGGCTAATTTTCATATTTTTTGCAGAGACAGGGTCATGCCATGTTGCCCAGGCTGGTCTCGAACTCCTGGACTCAGGTGATCCACCCACCTCAGCCTCCAAAGGTGCTGGGACTACAGGCGTGTGCCACTGTGCCTGGCCCTTTTGGCTTTGTAACGTTGCGGACAGTCCCCCTCCCTGCCCTGGCCCTTGGGAGCCTACGGACCCACCTGCAGGGAGGTGAGGCTGAAGGTGATGACCAGCTGTGAGGTGGGGCTGATGAAGGGAGGGGGTGTGACCGAGCGCTTGCCCTGCTCAAAGATGCGGTAGATACGGTTGGTCTTGGTGAGCAGGGCAGAGTAGCTGAGGGTCGTGCCCAGGCCCAGGAAGAGCCTGCGGGCGGCACAGACCGCGGCCCCAGGCTCAGCCACCATGAGGAAGGTGATGGCGTAGATGAGGAAGATGCCGGTGAGGAGGACGTAGCTGAGCTCTCGGCCCGAGGCCCGGACGATGGGCGTGTTGTTGTACCGCACGAAGGTGGCCACCACCGTGGTAGTGGCCACGATGCCCAGCACGGCCAGGAGGAGCGGCGGGGCTGCCCAGGGGGAGGACCAGCTCAGGCGCACCACAGGTGTGGGGCGGCAGCCCGTGTGGTTGGGCGTGGGCCTCATGTCCCCAGGACAGGCCTCGCATGTGAACTCGTCCACCTGGAAGCGGTACCCGTCACAGGCCTCGCAGTGCCAACAGCAGGGGACGCCCTTCACCATCTTCTTCCGCTCCCCCGGCCCGCAGGGCAGGCTGCACAGAGACGAGGGCACCTCGTGGGGGTCGCCAGACCACTGCAGGGCCTCCACCTGGGACGCACAAAACACAGGCTGGGGCGTCTGCCTCCGGGATCCTGGGCCCATGCCCACCTGGGGCTCGGTCTGCACACTCACATCCAGTCTGAGGGTCTCTGCCCACTGGCCCACTGCCTGGTACCCGCCACTGCTGGCACTGCCATTGGTCGCCTGGTACTGGAAGATGTCGTACCGCCCGGGCGCATCTCCGTTCTCGTTGAACATCACAGGGGTTCCTGCGCTGCCTGGAGAGAGAGTCCGTCATCCTCGGTGGTCCTCCAGCCCAGCAGAGCTGGCCTCCTGGGGAGGCCCCAGGGACCAGCAGGAGAAAGGAGGAGCTTAACAAGCATCACTGCTCATAAGGGACGTGCAAATCCAAGCCGCAGGGAGATCCCCCTTCACCCATTGGGATGGCTTCTAGCCAAGAACCAGAAAATAACGAGTGTTGTGAGCGTGTGGAGAAGTCGGAACCCTTGTGCACGGTGGGTGGGAAAAGGCTGCAGCCGCTGCAGAAAACAGTGTGGAGCCTCCTCAAAAGATTAAACACATGACCCAGCAGTTCCACTCCCGGGTAGATACTCGAGAGACTAGAAAGCAGGGTGGCAAGAAATGCTTGTACAGCCACGTTCACAGCAGCGTTATTCACATAGCCACAAGATGAAAGCAACCCGAGCGTCCACTGACAGAAGAATGGACGAACACGACGGGGCCATTCACACAATGGGATGCGATTCAGCCTTCAAAAGGAAGGCAGTTCTGACCCATGCTATAAAATGGATGGACCTGGAGGACATGATGCTCGGTGAAACAAGCCAGTCACACATGCGCAAATACCGTCTGATGCCACCACAGGAGGTACCGAGGGTAGACAATTCATAGAGAGGGGCCGTGGAATGGCGGTTGCAGGTGCTGGCGGGAGGAGGGGATGGGGAAGTGTTTAATGCATACAGAGTTATGGTTTCATAGATGAAGAGTTCTGGGGATAGATGGTGGTGATGGTTGCATAACATTGTGAATTTATTATTTATTTATTTATTTAGAGACAGAGTCTCACTGTGTCGCCCAGGCTGGAGTGCAGTGGCACAATCCCAGCTCACTGCAACCTCTGCCTCCCGGGTTCAAGCAATTCTCCTGTCTCAGACTCCCGAGTAGCTGGGATTATAGGCACCCGTCGCCATGCCCAGCTAATTTTTGTATTTTTAGTAGAGATGGGGTTTCACCATGTTGGCCAGGCTGGTCTCGAACTCCTGACCTCAAGTGATCCACCTGTCTCGGCCTCCCAAAGTGCTCAGATTACAGGAGTGAGCCATTGCGCCCAGACTGAATGTATTTAATATCACTGAACTCTACACTTAAAAAATGGTTAAGGTGATACATTTTATATTATATGTATTTTATCACAATTAAAAATGAAAAAAGTTTCACTGTCCAGGCGAGAGGATGAGTTCAGACACGGAGAGAGGTCTGAGTGACAGTATGAAATTGGAATGACTTGAACAATGAGCTCTATTTTTCTTACAAGCTTGTTCCACCAGCTTGCAGAGATGCTCTGGAGTCATATTAAATGGAATTGATTAGCAGAGAGCATGGCGGAGAGAAGGTGGTGAGTGAGTGTTCAGTGGAAGAGCGGAGTTTTGAATTGTGTAAAGGATAGTGATTGAACAGAAAGTCATCTCTCCACAAACCGTGGACAGAGCTTGAGTCCACTGGGGTCTCCTCAGAAGACACAGTTTTGAGCCCTGACCACACACCAAGCCTGGTGCCAAGGGACAGGTCAGACCCACGCCTGTGCCTGGCGCATGACTCAGAGTGGGCGGCATGTCCCTGGGTAGGCGCCCCACGCAGTCTTAACTGTGCCCCACGTGCACCCCCAGGGTCCAGATGCCCTCAAGCTCTGCGCAGTGGAGGGGAGTGTGGTGTGACCCACTGGGGGTTCCTGGCAGAAGGGATCAGAGAAGCTCCCCAGCATCTGAACTGTGCAAACCAGCGCAGGGAACACTGAAGCCTGGGGAGGGAGCAGTGTTAAAAATTGGGGACCGGAACTTGTCTCATGTCTTTGGCACTCAGCCCCAGGCACCCCCATTAGACCACTCAGCCTCACCCAGCCCTTCCACCCTGAGGTTGTCCCAGGCCTCACAGCAAAATCCAGCCCCCCAGCTGTCCTTCACTGCTGCAGGGGGGCAGGCACCCACTCACCATTGAAGCGGACAGCTCGAATGTACTGCAGAAGCATCCGCCCATCAGTGGGTTCCATCGCCGGGCACAGGCCTGTGTGCCCAGGGCAGAGCGCCTGGTGCATGCTGTGGAGGGCGTGGGCAATGGCGTACACCGCATCAATCACAAACTGCACCTTGCCCTCCTGCTCGTAGGTGGAGTCCCGGCCGATGCGTTCCTCGCCTGTCCTAGGGATGCCCAGAGAAAGTGTGCCCGGCCCCCATGCACCGAACCCGGCCTCCCGCCTTCCCCCTCCCCACCCTCACCACCCTCCCCACCCTCCCCACCCTCACCACCCTGGGCAGCTCTCACCTGTGCATTTGCGGGTGGAATCGTCTGACTGGGTACCTGAGCTGGTCAGTTTGCAGTTAAAATTCTCTTCCCAGAACTCGGCGAACCAGATGTTCCTGCGGTTGTTCTCCAGGGATCGAGTCATGAAGTACTGGTCAAATCCTACAGACAGGGAAGAAGGGGGAGGGTGGCGCTGACCTGAGCCAGCTGTGTTTCTCCTGTGTCTCTCTGCCACTTGCTCACTTTCAGCTAGGAGTGGCCAGGTGAGCTAGGAGTGGCCAGGTGAACTAGGCATGGCCAGGTGAGCTAGGAGTGGCCAGGTGAGTTAGGCGTGGCCAGGTGAGCTAGGAGTGGCCAGGTGAGCTAGGCGTGGCCAGGTGACCAAGTTCTGATTGGTGGACTCAGAGCCAACTGGAGGTTCCAGGGTAGCACTTACATGCTGATGCAAACTCAGAGCCTCACCATTTGAAAGACTTTTATCCCTGCTCCTTCTTTCCTGTTAGGATGCTGCTGTGAAGATGTAATGGGTGGAGCCTCAGCAGCCATCTTGTGACTATGAGACCATAAGCAGGAAGACCCAAGGCAACCACAGGGAATGGTGGAACAAAGGAATGGACAGAGCCCAGGGCTTTGAGAGCGCATTCACTCACTGCCCCATGCCTAAAGTCACCAACTCTCAGACCTCCTGTCTTGTGATGAGATGCCTTTATCGCTAAAACTACTCTCAGTCCAGGCTGCCACCTGCACCCAGATGCAACGTAGCTGAAATAAAAGGCGTGATGGTATATATCCCCCTAAGGCTAAGAGGCCCTAGCAGCCAGGGCTCAGCCTTTCCAGGGTCTGTGTTTCATAAAATAGCCCTGAAGGATGTCATCAAGGTGTCCTCGGTCCAGCCTTGGGGAAAATGAGCAATCCTATTGTAAAGTGAGCCATCTGTTCCTGCTGGATTCATCCAGATCCACAGGTAGGACTGGGGGTGCAGGGGCCTCATCACTCTGATCACCAGGATGGTATATTCCGTATCCTTGGTTTCTCTCCCTCCCACCCTCACCCTCAGATTAGAATGTCTTTGGCAGCACTAGAAATACAGGCACTAAATTAAGAAACAAAACCAAAAACCCAACAATTCCTCCCCGTCCAGTGAGTGGAGCGTGCTTTCCTCGCACGCCATCCCAGTCAAGCGCTGCTTGGAGGGACGCGTCCACAGATGATCGGACTCATAGGATCTGGGGATCTGAGAAGGGATCTGGATTATGGCACCAATTACACAGATGCAGAAAATGAGCATCCCCAAGAGGGGGTGCTGGGGAGACGTGTGGGGTGGGGGATGGAGTGCCCCTGGACTCACCGTCGATGGAGGCCCTTTTGGGCAGGATGGTGATGGCCCCAACGGCCACGTCCTCCAGGCTCAAGATGGGTGAGGTCTTGGCTCCCCAGCTGTCTGAGCCGACCCACAGGAAGTGGCCGGTCAGGTTGGCCTGGCGAGCTGCCTCCAGGACCCGCCTGGTAGGAGCAGGGCTGGGGTGAGGGAGGGCCTGGGAGCCTCCTCCAGCTCGGCCCCCATCCCTTCCCACTCTATCCATCTCCCCTGCTCTATAATCACTCACCAGATCCTTGTTTCTCAGGAAAAACGGGGCCGGGGGCATTTAGGGCACCTTCCCTGGGCTTTCCTCTGACCCTAGGCCTGCCCACTTGCTCTGCCCACTGTAACCCACTGTTCAGGGGGTTCAGAGGGACTCCTTGGGGGAAAATCCAGTTCGAAGCCAGCCCCTCCCCACATGCCTCCACCAGCGTCACACCCAGCCTCCTAGGCTGGAGATGAACTCGGGCCGGTGGGTCTCGGGCTGGGGTCCGCAGCCTCTGTATGGACCCTGGGCTCCTTCCCTCACAGCTCATTTTCTGCACTAGGTTCTGCCCACAGGTCCCTCCCCGCACCCCCAGGAGCTGTAAACACAGACACATGTTCTGTGCGCTATTCAGTCTGGGCTTGTGGCATCTCCCCAGACCAGGCTGCTTCTGAGCCTGGGCACCAGACTCAGAGGCAGCAGCAGGGAAGGTGGGGGGTGCGGGGAGCAGGGGAAAGGGAGGCAGGGAGAGTGTGTAAGGTGGCGATGTGCAAGAGGAGGGGTGGGACCCTCAGGGAGAGCCCCAGGGGCCCGGTGATTGTGCCACTGTCCCACCTGATGTCATCCTCATTGGCAAAGATGATGATGCCCCGGGCGTTGGGCGTCTCCATGAGTCTCCTGATCACCTTGCTGAACTCTCCTGGCTTTGGTTCCCTGGGAATCTTGATAGACTGGGCAATACAGACCCCCCCTGGGCGTTGGGGGTGCCAGAGTCAGCTTCCGTCCCACCCACCCACACACCCACCTGGCCACCGCTGCAGAGGACTGTGTAGGCTGGCTGAAGGGTCTGCAGGGGTGAAGTCTGGCCTGCACCCTCCGCCAAGCCTGAGGCAGGGCTGAGTCGTCCAAAACAAAGAGGTCCCGCCCACATGGAGCACCAGCCAGGCAACCTCGGCCCAGCATGGACCTGGGCCCCCCATCTTTCTGCTTCTGCCCCAACTGAGGGCCCCGGGCCCACACTATGTAGACTCCTTGGTGCCTCGGAGCCCCCAGCTCACCAGCCTCTCGGGAGATCTGAACGAAGGCCTCAACCCCACTTTCGCCATAGTTGCCCTCGGAGGCCAGCGTGGACACATAGTTCCATCCCAGTGCCCTCACGATGTCCACCATGGCCTGCGCCTGGTAGGAGTCGGGTGGCACCACCCGGGAGAAGAAGTCATAGCGTGTGGAGTCGCTGAGCTCCGGGGCTGTGGAGGCATAGCTGATCTGGGGTATCTGTGGGGCAGGAAGGACAGCTGGGCTGTGGATGGAGGTCAGTAACTCAAGAGAGGGAGGGTAAGGGGGGCCCAGGACACGGACGGGGCACAGAAGGTGTGTGGCATGGACCTGGGACACAGATGGGAGATGGAAGGGTTGGGGTGGGGACCTGGGGCCAGCTGGAGCAGCCACCTGGAAAGGCTGGAAGCTGTGGTGTTTTGCGAGTGGGCCTGAGAATTCCGTGAATGCTGTGCAGGTGGGAGGTATGCAGGGCTGGGGAGAGGGCAGGACCGCCACATATACTGGTACAAGCTGTGTCCTGAACAAGGACCCCCAGCAGAGGGCCTGCAGCCCATCCAGCTGCATCTGCCTGTCCTAGTCAGGCCCAGGGCAAAGCACGTTTTCTTGATTCACACCAAGGGGTGGTCCGCAGGGACAGGCAGCCCTAGGAGGGATTAGGGCAGACAGGGGAGCAGCAGGGGATGTTCCATTTAAAGCTGTGTCTGGCCTAGGATGGGGATTGTTGGAAACTGGGTTTCTCTGCATGCATTAGAGTGATTAACAGCAGAGACCAGAGGCTGAACTGACCGGGGAGTGTGGAGGCAGAGACACGGGGCTGAGAAGGCCGCCAAGAGGGGGCTATGGGGCTCCAGCGCAAGAGGGGCTATAGCAGGAGCTGGTGTGAAGGCCAGAGAGGGGGAGTTTCTGGAAGGAGGGAGGGGGGCTGGTCCAGGGTTGTTTGAAGCAGGATAGAAAGTATAGAGACAGCATGAAAAGGAAGCCGGGAGTGGCAGGGAGAGAGAAAGAAAGAGGGAAGGTGGGGCTGGAGAGAAACAAGAAGGAGAGAGGGAGAGAGAGAGAGAGAAACAACTGAGGAGACCGAGAGACGAGAAAGGCCCAGTGGCCACAGCTCAGTGAATAATGCTGTGGTCCTCCCAGCTCTCCTGGACACTTGAGTTTGGGAACAACCCTCCCATGCCCCCTGGACCTCCTGAGGGAAGTTAATTTAAAATGCCTGCCAGCACGGTCATGTGGCTGGGAAATGAATGTAGTTCTTTTAGACCAGGAATTGCAGCATCTTGCCTGTGGCTGTGTTTTGCACAGTTTTTATTAATGTTTGCATTTCTAGCCGGGCAGCACAACCTCAATCTGGGCTGAGCTGGCAGCAGCGGGCCCTGGGCTCACAGAGTCCTGCCCACCTGAGTCCCCAACTGGGCCCCTGAAGGCCTTGGGGTCTGGAATCTCTGCATTCGACCTAGAGGACAGAGACAGAAACTAGAGCTCTAGGCAGGGCCGGGGACACATACAGGTGGGTGAAAAACCCCTGGGCGGCCGCACAGCCTGTCTGGTGCCAGCGTGGAGATGTCACATCAACACTGCCAATCCGAGGAAACAGGGATGGGGGCTTTCATGTGCGCAGACGATAGGGAGCGGCCCCGCACGCCTGGAACAAACACAGACGCTGCGCCCGGGAGTCGGAGAAGCTCTCAGGAAACAGAAGTTCCTCTCCTAGGTAGATGGAAGCCAGGCCTTCCTCCTTCACAGAGAGCCGGATGCACACAGGCCCCTCCCGCCACAGAACCCCAGAAAAACTGTCCCACAACCCCCAGTGAATGACCAAATCGAAAACCCCCAAACTTGTATGCCAAAGCCCTCCTAATCCCGATTCTGCTGGCCCCTAGGACTGCAAGGAACACGCTGCCCCTCACGGGACAGTTCCCTACATTTGAGGACAGAGCAGGGCCAGCCCGGGCACCTGCGCAGGGCAGGGTGCAGGAGACCAGAGCTCAGAAGGGAACGCCCCGCCCTGCTCTCAGATGCCCCTTGAGGGAGAGTTCAAGGCATTTTGAAAATAAATTTAAATGATCAAAAAAGAGAAAGACCAGACCTTTCAGGCCTATCCATCCCCCATAGCAGCCCAGGGACACGCCCCAGTTGCTGCTCTGGAAGAAGGGCCCGGGTTCCAAACAAAACTCAAAGTTGCAATATCACTCGAGCGCTCCGCAGGCCCAGGGGGCAGGAGCACCTTGTATGGTTGCAGGGGTGTGCCCAGAACAAGGGCACCCGAGCAGGCTGGCAAATGGGGGCTGAAGTCAGGCCGCCCTCCCCAGCCAACCGGCCAGAGGCGTAGGTGGCACCCGCCCGGGAAGGGGCGCCCTCGCGGGGCGGGGTAGACATGGGCGGCTGGAGTGTTTGGGTGGAGCCGATTCAGGCCTGCGTCGGGCTCAACTGACAGGGCTTCTTTGACGCTGTGTGAATTCGAGTGATTAAAACGGAGACTCTTTCAGAAGAAGTAAAGGAAGGAGACTTGGGCCACCCCAGGGCGAGGACGGGAGAGGGACGCTGGACACCGAGCCCGGCCCCGCGGCCCTCACCGCAAACAGGCGCAGCACGTTGGCGACCATGATGGAGACGGAGCTGGCCGAGGCGCCCACGACGGCCACGACGCGCTCGGGGGGCGCGGGGCGCAGCGGAGGGACGCCTCCCGGGCAGCGCACGCCCACCTCGTCGCCGTCGCCGCGGCCGCGGATCAGCGCCTGCACGAAGCTCAGCGCCTGCTCCAGCGCGTAGGTGTCCCGCGAGCAGGTGTCCAGCAGCCGCGCGCCCAGGCGCACGCCGGGCAGCAGCTCGGGGTCGGCGTTGACGCGGTCCAGCGCGTACAGCATGGCCTCCAGCCGGTGCACGCCCTGCTCCTTCTTCAGCTGCCCGCACGCCCGGCCCGCCGCGCCCCGCGCGTGCACCGGGAACAGGCCGCCCAGCGTCAGGCCGCCCGCCAGGCGCACAGAGCCCGCCGCGCGCGCCAGGCCCGCCTGCGCCAGCCACGCCAGCGGCAGCAGCGCCACGAGCAGCGGCTCCCGGGCTCTCCGGGGCCGCGCCATCGGCTCGTCTAGCGGGCTGCGGGGAGACAGAGGGGCGGGGAGCGCTCTGAGGGCGGGGGAAGGAGAGCGCGGGCTCGGGGCGCGGGGAGGGACACCGGGGTCCTGGGGAGAAGGCGCTCGGGGCGCGCCTTCCACTTCGGCTCTGGGGAGTTAGCTCAGCCGGCCTGCCCGGGCCTCCGTCTCGCTCTTACAAGCGCCGAACCCTGTCGCCCGGGGTCCCGCCCGACCACTGCCTCCACCCCTCCAGCCCTGCCGCTTCCCGACAGCTTGGCCCCTCTTCCTCGGGGTCCATCCCCAGCGCACACCCAGGCTCCCGCCCCAAGCCAGTCACCTGCGCCAGCCGCTGTCGGTTCAGGACAAGTCTGTGACAGATGCGGCCGAGGCCCTGAGCGAGAGAGGATTTAAGGATTCTAGGGAGGGATGAGAGACCGCTCCGAGGGTGGAGACCCCTCCTGAGTGTGGGGGGTGGCGGTGCTGGCTCTCCCCGCATCTCCTTCCCCTCCCTCTCCCAATCTCTGGGTCTGTTTTCCTGTTTTCTTGTCTTTGGTTTGCGTCTGACTCAGACTGTCTGGCTGTCTCTGGGGCTGTGTCTGACACAATCTCTGTCCATCTCTATCTCAGTCTTCTTCTGCCTCTAGGTCTCTGTTTCTCAGTCTCTGTCCCTGGCTTTCTGCCTCTGTCCTCTTCTTGGAAATCTTTTCTGTCTCTGTCCCTTCCTGTCTCTCCCTGCGGTTATCTCTCTCTGTCCCTGACCCCTTTTCTGTCTCTCTGTCTCTGTCCTGGCCACCAGTGCTCCTGACTGCAGTTGCCTAAGGTATTCCCCAGCTTTCTCCTTGCAGAACCCTGCAGGGGGCAGGGGCTGCCTGAGCTGGGAGGGCCTAAGGAAGAGGAGGAAGAGCGAGGGGCAGGAAGGGGCCAGGAGGGAGAAGCCTTTAGTATTAGCGAACTTACAACACCCTGCAGTCGAGAAACAGCCCTCGAGGAGTGAGTTGAGTTGCCCAAGTGCATGCAGCTGGCATGTGTGGGCATCAGGATTCACACCCAGAATGGCATGAAACAAACAGCCCACACTGCCTTGGATGGAGGGAGGGGAGGGGCCGGCTTTCCTCGCAGCTCCCACTCCCGCCTATTGCTTGGGAGGATGGAACCCCGCGGGGTCGTTCTGGCTCCGTATAAAGTCTCCTCGGGCTCTGGGTCTGAGGCAGCCACTCGAGCTGCGGTGCTCACTGTGCCAACGCTCTCTGCACCTAACTCCCCATCTCATCGTGGAGGCCAAGGTGAGGGGGCTTGGCCAAAAGATGCTTTTATCATCCCCCCATCCGAGGCCCAGGATTTGGCTCTCTGATGCCAAGAGAGCAAAGGGCGTCCTGGAGACAGGTGGTGAGCTCCTAGCCACAGGGATTAGCAGGCTCCTCGTCCGAGGGCCTGAGCCGGCTTGGGCTCCATTAGACAGGCTGGATTAGGGTGGCTGCGGGGATTTGGACAAGGCTGGTAGAGGGAGCAAGCAAGAAACATGCCACCTTTCTCTCTTCCCCCGCCTCTCCCAGGCCCCGATAGTTTCTACTGCCAGAACCACTTCTCCTGGTGGAAGCCCAGAGTCAACAGGCTGGGCCTAGCCCTGCTCCTATCCATTTTAACAGTGGGAAGGGTGGGGAGCTTGGCTGGTGCCAGGCCCTGAGCCTGACATTGCGAAGGACTGCATAAACTGGGTTTGGGAGGTGGATGGGCCCTTCCCTGTTCAGGACGAGCCTGACAGCTCCCAGCACACAGCAGCCTCCTGCTTGGCATGACCAAGGCAGCCACTGCCCCTGTCTGGAGGACAGACCATCAGGAAGCGGGGGCAGCAGCTGGGGGACTGGCAGGGGGTCCTCGCCGTGTAGGAGGGAGGCATGCACACCTGTGAGCAGGGGGCTGGAGGAGAAGGGGAGGGGGGTGGCAGGATTTTAGACCTGATGGAGATTTGGCTCTTGGAGGGGTGGAGGATGGCATAGCTGCTGGGGCATTCCCTGAGAATATGAGGACCAGAGACACAGCTGAGCAGGTCAAGGAGGGCAGAAGCCAAGAGTTCGGGTTTGGGCAGGAAAGTGGAGGCTTCGTGGTTCATGAGCCTGGAACTGAGGGAAGAGGCCAGGGCGGGAGAGAAAGCTGAGGTGGGATCGCCACGGAGGCGTTTAAAGCCGTGGGACGCAGGAGTTCCCTGGGGCTGAGAGTGTGGACAGACAGTGAGGCTGGAGCCCCAGGAACCCCAACATGCAGGTCTGAGCAGAAGTAAGGAGACTGGGAGGGGGTGGCCGAGGAGTTAGAGGAGAAGCAGGAGCGTAGGCACCAGAGGGGCCCAGAAACAAGGATTGAGGAAGGAGGGAACATTCAGCATAATTTATTCAGCCCCGTGCAGGGGCAGAAGGCCAAAGTGCACCTCGCACAGGCCATAGGGCCCTCTTACAGCATCCTGATACAGCTGCTCAGGCTCGATGAGGTAGCACAGAATTTGTACAAAATGCACAGGACGTCATTTAAAAGGTTGCCCCAAGAAGAAGTCCTGCTGTTCCCTGACCCTGGGACTGTTTTCCTCAGCTGGGCTGCTATGGCAGAGTTCCACACAGACAGTCAAAGAACAGAGATTTTTTTTTTTTTATGGTGAAAAGCTTTAATAACAGACAATGTGATTTCATACGCAACCAATCAGCAGATTAACAAATCATTTAACTTTCTTTATATAAAACCAATATTCCACTCAAGAAAGATGAACCAGAATGGATCCTTTTACACTCACCAACCTAACTGAGTACAAATGAAGTCCATGATGTACCCCGTTAGCATGCTACATGTGTGTCAGTAAAACAAGCCCTCCCCCACCCCAAGCCCTGGCCCCCTGGCAAACAGATAAATGACGTGCACTGCGTGATGATACCATAGGTGAGAACTTTGGTTCATGCAGTCAGCTGGCATAGAGGTTGCACCCCAAAACCCCCGCCCTAGCACCCATAGTCAGTCGGTGGTGGGGGCTCATGGTGTCAGCTGTGTTCCTTCCACACCAGGTGAATACTGTGGTCAGGAATACTGGTGGCAAAGGCCAAGCCCGTGTCATTGTGCCCATCTGCTCCATTCAGCCAGGATGCTTCGCCTGCCAGGAAGCTTGAGCCTCTCTTTGATTTCTTGTACTCTGGAAGAGGCCAGCGATTAATGAGGCTCTGGGTCTGCAAGTCCATGATGTACAGGTGGCAGCTGCCAAACAGTAGGGCAACAGTATTTCCAAAGCCAAGCAAGGCCAAGTTTGCTATCTCAGGAGTCTTGATGACCCTGAGAATATCATAACTGTTGGCAAAGTCCCGCTGCTAGAGACGGAGGGCTGAACTACAAACAGTGTATTTGCCATCAACACGAAGTCTTGGCTGCAGGCGGATACTTCTAACCTCAGAGACAAGAGGATGTCTTTAAGCACTTGCAGTTGATTTCTGTCCCAGTTGGCCAAATCTTAATCTCATATTTGTCTGCACTTAAGAGGAGGTATCCTTCAGGACTGTGTGCAAGAGAGACTTGACTTTGCACTTCTGCAGAACTACCTTGGTGACCCATGGCGTGTGCCCAGTGAGTGTGCTCAGGCATGCCCCAGTAGATAAAGTCCATCCTTTCACAGTGAAGGCCGCAGAGCCGCTCACCAAGGTATCATTGTAGTCCACGCTAAACACTGCCCGCGTGTGCCCGCGAAAGTGCCGGATCCTGGCTCCGGAACTCCATTCCCAGCAAGCCACAGTGTCGTCAAAGGAGTCTGTCACAAGCTTCTGTTCATTGAACTTCACCACGGCACAAGTGTGGGTCTGGATGCCACAAACGCACTGCCCTGTGGTCACACCCCATAGCTTTGCAGACCCTGTGGCTGTTTTCCTCAGCTGGGCGGCCATAACAAAGCCCCACAGACAGAGGGTTAAAGAACAGAGATTTGTCTTCCCACTGCTCTGGAGGCTGGGCGTCTGAGATCAGGGTGCCATCGTGGTGGGTTCTGGGGCGGGCCTCTCCCTGGCTTGCAGACCATCCTCTTCTCCTTGCGTCCTCATGTGGCCTTTTCTTGGTGTGTGCAGGAGGAGGGAGAGTCCTCTTGTCCTCTGCTCATGAGGCCACCAGGCCTATCGGATTCGGGCTCCACCCTCGCGACCTCATCTAACCTCATCCCCTGTTACAGCTCCGTCCACTCTTACAGCACTGATATTGCCAGTAGGGCTTCCGCGTAAGAATTTGGGGACATAACTCCCTCCATAGACCCTCTGACTGGGCCTGAGGCATCCAGGGGAAAGAGCAAAGGGCACCCAGTGGGACTATAGGGGGGTGGTTCAGTGCACACTCAGGGCTACAGAGCCCAGGTCTAAATCTTGGCCTGGTCACTTTTTATCAAGGTGACCTTGAGCAAGTCTCTGTACCTTTATTTAGCCTCAGTGTCCGTATCTTTTTTTTTTTTTTTTTTTTTTTTGAGACAGAGTCTCGCTCTGTCGCCCAGGCTGGAGTGCAGTGATGCAACCTCCGCCTCTCCGGTTCAAATGATTCTCCTGCCTCAGCTTCCTGAGTAGCTGGGATTACAGCCACCCGCCACCACACCTGGCTAATTTTTTGTATTTTTAGTAGAGATGGGGTTTCACCGTGTTAGCCAGGATGGTCTCGATCTTCTGACCTCATGATCCGCTTATGAGTGTGGCATAGAAATGCAAGTGGGCCGGGCGCGGTGGTGCGTGCCTGTAATCCCAGCTACTTGGGAGGCTGAGGCAGGAGAATCACTTGAACCCAGAAGGCGGAGGTTGCAGTGAGCCAAGATCACACCACTGCACTGCAGCCCGGGTGACAGAGCGAGACTCTGTCTCAAAACTAACAACAACAACAACGAAATGCATGAAGTGTAGGTTAATTTGGAATCCATAATAAAATAAGTGTCTATCCCTAAATAACCCGTGGTACAGTTTTGCCTGTTTGTGACATTATATAAATGAAGAGGGAGTATTTTCTTTTTTTGAGAGGAAGTCTCGCTCTGTCGCCCGGGCTGGAGTGCAGTGGTGCGATCTCTGCTCACTGCAAGCTCCGCCTCCCGGGTTCACGCCATTCTCCTGCCTCAGCCTCCAGAGTAGCTGGGACTACAGCCACCCGCCACCACACCTGGCTAATTTTTTGTATTTTTAGTAGAGATGGGGTTTCACCGTGTTAGCCAGGATGGTCTCGATCTTCTGACCTCATGATCCGCCTGCCTCTGCCTTCCAAAGTGCTGGGATTACAGGCGTGAGCCACCACGCCTGGCCGAGAGGGAGTATTTTCAAAAGGAAAATCATAAAGTAATTTGATCAAATCTGAATCTTAGCCTAAGTAAAAGGCCCAAACAGCTTTCCAAAGGAATTGAACGCATCATATTGGGGTTTAGAATTCATCATTTTCATGATACCAGTCCATGTGGTTTTTATTGCTTGGCATTGGCATTGGCTTGAAGTTCAACGTGAACACCAACTCTTGGGCTCACAGTTTTGATAATGGAGGAACTGCCTCCGTTTTGAAACAGAAATGTTTAAGTGCACAATGCACCAGACACTGGTTTATAAAGGCTGTGTTTTATTTAAGCTGCCTTTCCACAGGGCAATGAGGGATTTCAAACATGAAATATATTTGAGAAACTTCATTTTAAGGAACCCATTAGTTAGGGGATATTGTTTTGTTTTTAAACAGGAAGATCTTTAACCAGAACACAAATTTTCTTCAAAATTAGAGAAATCAAAGTACTATACAACAAGGCCATAGAATATATCTCCGAGAAGTCATCCCAGATCTACAGTGAACATCTACTCAGAACATGGCTCAGAAAACTTTTTCTTTTTGACTTTTTCGGGGCTTTTTTTTTTTTGACAGGGTTTCGCTCTGTCACCCAGACTGGAGTACAGTGGCCCAATCATGGCTCACTGCAGCTTCCACCTCCTAGGCTCAAGCAATCCTTCCACCTCAGCCTCCCAAAGTGCTGAGATTGCAGGCACAAGCCACCATGCCTAGCCAAGAAAACTTTTTCCTAAAGGGACATGTGTAGGCTGAATAATACCCTTGCTTCTGTCGAAGTTCTAATTCCCAGAACCTGTGAGTGCTGCCTTATATAGCAAAGGGGACTTTATAGACGTGATCAGATTAAGGTTGTGAGATCCTGAATTGTCACGTGGGCCCCATGTAATCGTAGGGCCCTCAGGAATAAGAGAAGGTGCCATGAAGATGGCAGCAGGGAGTGATGCAACAATGCTAAATGTAGCCTTTGAAGATGCAGAAAGGGCCAAGGAATGCCCCTCTGACACCTGGGAAAGGCAAGGAAGTGGATCTCCCCGAGAGCACCTGGATGGGGGCAGTCCTGCTGACACCCTGATTTCCATCCCCTGAAACTGGTTTCAGACTGTGAGAGAATCAATTTGCGTTGTTGTCATGAACTGAGTTTGTGGTAACTTGTTACAGCACCAATAGAAAACCAGTGAGTAAACATGTTTGGCTTTGCCCCTCTGTCATAACTTTTGACCTCTGCCCCTGTGGCACAGACACCATCACAGGCAATAGCTAGAGTCAGCCTCGCGGGCTCGGCCAGGGATGGAAGCCACTCGGCAGCTGTGTGACCAGAGTCAGCCTCGCGGGCTCGGCCAGGGATGGAAGCCACTCGGCAGCTGTGTGACCAGAGTCAGCCTCGCGGGCTCGGCCAGGGATGGAAGCCACTCGGCAGCTGTGTGACCAGAGTCAGCCTCGCGGGCTCGGCCAGGGATGGAAGCCACTTGGCAGTTGTGTGACTGGGATTCTCATGATCAGCATTGGCTTAGCTCAGGATCCCCAACGACCGCGACCACTAAGCCTGAGACAGGGCTCTGGAGGGCCAGCTGGAGGCCACAGCAACACACACACACACACACACACACACACACACACACACACACCCCCCAAGAGAAAAAGCCTGGGAATGATGACACTACAGAGTTGTGGATAAAAGACAGTCTTTTCAATCAATGAAGTGGGAAAATTAGGTGCCCCTATGAAAATAAAAGGAACTATACCCCTACCTCATTCCACACACCAAAATCAATTCAGATGCATTATTTACCTAAATGGGAAATGCAAACTGTATTAGTCTGTTCTCACACTGCTATAAAGAACTACCTGAGATTAGGTAATTTATGAAGAAAAAAGTTTTAATTGACTCACAATTCCACATGCTCTACAGGAAACACGGTTGAGGAGACCTCAGGAAACTTAAAATCATGGCAGAAGGGGAAGGAGAAGCACGCGTGTCTTCACATGGCCAGAGCAAGAGGAGTAGAGAGAAGGGGGAAGTGCTACACATTTTTAAACAACCAGACCTTGTGAGAGCTCGCTCGCTATCATGAGAACAGCAACGGGCAAGTCTGCCCCCATGATCCAGTCACCTCCCACCCGGCCCCACCTCCAATACTCGGGATCACATTTCAACATGAGATTTGCATGGGGAACAGAGGCAAACCATATCACAAACCAATAAATAGGTCAAAGATTGTAGGTGAGAGTATTTCATGACCTTAGGGAAAGATATCTTAAACTGAACACACAAAAAAACTAATCATAAAAGAAAGGAACTATACATTTGACAACCTTAAAATTAAGAACTCTCTTACAGACAGCATAAGGATAAGGATGAAATGTTGATAATGATCAAAGCTAGATGATAGGTTTATAAGAGTTCATAACACTATTTTTCTAGAAAACAAAACAAGAGGAAAAGACTCCATAAAGAGAGGGAAAAGGCAAGCCACCAAGTGGGAGAAGATATTTATAACTCATATAACCAACAAAGCACTAGGCTACAGCATGCAGACTGAACTTCTATGAATCAATCATAAAAACAAAAATTACACATTAGAAAAATGGGCAAAAGATTTGAGCAGTCAGTTCACAAAAAAGGGTATCAAAATATCTATAACAATATGAAAAAATTTAGCCTTGTTAAAATTAGGGAAATGTAGATTTAAACCACAATGAACTATCCAGCAGAAAGGCTAAAATTGAAGAGATTCAAAATTCCCTGTGTTAAGGGTGATGAAACATAGGAATCCTCATGCACTGCCAGTGGGAGGGTAAATTGGTGCAATTTGCAAGAACACAGTCTTGAATTATTTACTAAAGTCGAAGATACACATGCCCTAGGTCTCAGCAATTATATTTGTAGGTATATTCCCTAGAGAAATGAATGCACAGATATATGCATATGAACATTCAAGGTACTGTTATTTATTAGAGAAAAAAATGGAACAAATGAAAGGTACATTGTAAAATGAATAAATAACTTGTGGTATTCCATGCACTGAAATGGAATATTATATAGAAAAAGGAGTGAGCCAAAATGACAAGTAATAGCACAGATTAATCGTCCATATAATTGAACACGCATACTGTAATTCCATTTTTCATAATATCCATAAACAGGCAAAGTAAATCACAGTATGTAGAGATGCACACTTCCGTAGTAAAAGCACAAAGAAATGCAAAGAAGGATCATGACTGGGAGGTGACTTGTGAGAGCACTTGTGGGTTGTGAGGGATTATGCAGGTGTTTTTTATTTTATTTTATTTTATTTTATTTATTTATTTTTTTGAGACGGAGTCTTGCTCTGTCGCCCAGGCTGGAGTGCAGTGGCGCGATCTCGCCTCACTGCAAGCACCGCCTCCCGAGTTCACGTCATTCTCCTGCCTCAGCCTCCCGAGTAGCTGGGACTACAGGCACCCACCACCACGCCTGGCTAATTTTTTTGTATTTTTAGTAGACACGGGGTTTCACCATGTTAGCCAGGATGGTCTCGATCTCCTGACCTCGTGATCCGCCTGCCTCGGCCTCCCAAAGTGCTGGGATTACAGGCCTGAGCCACTGCGCCCCACCTATGTGGGTGTTTTATTTACACTCTTCTATTACACTGAACATTCATGGTCTTGCATTTTTTTTAAATTTATGTGTTACTTTTCACAATTTAAATATTTTAAAACATAAAAAAGTATGACAATTAGAAAACAAAAAGTAAGATGTGAGAACTAAGTTGAAGTATCTTCGTAACTCAAATAAATGTAATTCTGCTAAATGTTTCAGTTTAAGAGACAAAAATTTCAAGTTTTTGTGAAACAAAATCCAGTTTAATGTTGCTTATGAGACTCCCCTAAAACATAAGGCTGCAAAGTTGCCCCTGTCAGACCCATGTGATGGTTCACTGGAAGACCCTACTTGAAAGGTGTCTTTATTTTACCTAATTCAGTGCTCCCCCAGTGCTAAAAGTTAGAAATAAAAGTGGGGACATTGTTACTGACCTTAGAGGGATAAAAATAGTTATAAGAAAATACTACAAACAATTGTGTGCTAACAAATTAGATAACCTAGATGAAGTGAACACATTCCTGGGAACACACAAACTACCAATACTGACTCAAGAAGAAAATAGAAAATCTTAACAGACCTGGCCAGGCGCAGTGGCTCATGCCTGTAATCCCAGCACTCTGGGAGGCTGAGGCGAGCAGATCACGAGGTCAGGAGATCGAGACCATCCTGGCTAACCCAGTGAAACCCCATCTCTGCTAAAAATATAAAAAATTAGCCGGGCGTAGTGGTGGGCGCCTGTAGTCCCAGCTACTTGGGAGGCTGAGGCAGGAGAATGGTGTGAACCTGGGAGGCGGAGCTTGCAGTGAGCTTAGATCGCGCCGCTGCACTCCAGCCTGGGTGACAGAGCAAGACTCCGTCTCAAAAAAAAAAAAAAAAAAAAAGAAAATCTTAACAGACTTATATTGTTACCAGCAATCAAAAATCTCCCAGAAAGGAAAAATCTTTCTTTCACTGGGTGAGTTCTAGCAAACAGTTAACATCCATCCTTCTCAAACTCTTCAAAAAAAAAAAAAAACAAAAAAACAAACAAAAAAAAACAGAACAACAACAACAAAAGAAGAGAGAACACTTCCTCAACCATTCTATATATGAGGCCCGCATTAACCTGGTACCAAGCCGGACAAAGATATACAAGTAAGCTATAGACCACTATCACTTACGAATATAGATGCAAAAAATCATCAACATAATACTAGAAAACTGAATCCAGCAGCATGTAAAAAGGATTATGCACCACGAGCATGCGAGATTAATCTCAGAAATGCAAAGGTGGTTCAACATATGAAAATCAATCACTATAACTCACCACATTAGTAGAATGAAGGAAAAAAGCCACACGAGCATCTCAATCAATCTCAATCAATGCAGGAAAAGCACTTTTTAAAAATTGAACATACTTCTAGAATAAAAACACTCAGAAAACTAGGAATAAAAAAGGGACTCATTCAACACAGTAAAGGGAATTTATGAAAAACTCATGGCTAACATACTCAATGGTAAAAGATGAAAGCTTTCCCCCTAAAATCAGGAGCAACACAAGAATGCCCACTTTCACCACTGCTATTCAACATTGTACCAGAAGTTCTATCCAGAGCAACTAGGCAGGAAAAAGAAATAAAAGCCATGTATACTGGAAAAGAAGAAGTAAAACTCTCTATTCAGAGATGAATGATCCTTTATTTGGAAAAATCACACAGAATGTACAAAAAAAACCCTACTATACTTAATAAATTAATTCATCAAATTTGCAGTGTATGGGACCCATATATGAAAATAAGATATATTTCTATACATCAGCAATAAGCTCAAAAGTAAATAAAAATTAAATTAAGTAAATTAAAGTAAATTAAATAAATTAAATTAAGCTCAAAAGTAAATTAAAAACAAATTCCTTTCACAGCAGTATTCAAAATAATAAAATACTTAGCAATAAATTTCACCAAGACAGTGAGAGACTTGGGCACTAGTAACTATAAAGTAAGGCTGAATTAAATGAAAGAAAACTTAAAATAAATAGAAAGATACCCTGTGTTCATGGATTGGAAGATTTAATATTTTTCAGAAATGGCAAAGCCAATCCTCACATATATATGGAATTGCAAGGGGCCCTGACCAAAACAGTGTGGTATAAGCGTAAGGATATCTAGATCAATGGAATAAAATTAGGAGTCCAAAAATATATTCTAACATATTTATAGTCAATTGATTTTCAAGGAAGGAATCAAAATCTACAGCCAATTGATTTTTGACAAGGGTGGTGAAACCATTTAATGTGGAAGAAAATGGTCTCTTAACAAACGGTGTTGGGATAACTGGATATACATGCAAAAATATGAATCTGGACTCTTTCCTCACATCATACACAAAATTTAATCAAAATGGTTCAAAGACTTCAATGTAAGATTTAAAACTATGAAACTCTTAGAATAAAACATAGATGTAAATCATTATTCCCTTGGATTAGACAACAATCTCTTAGATATGGTATGAAAAGCACAAACACTCCAAGAAATAATAAATTGGAAACTTTTAATTAAACAAAGTAAATTAAAAACAAAATGTAAAACTTTTGCCATCAAAGAAAACTATCAAGAAACTAAAAAAGGAAACCAGAGAACAGTAGAAAATATTTTTAAACATTTGATACATTCTATACATCTGATAAGGGTCTAACATTTATAATTTGAACAGAACTCTTACACACACACACACACACACACACACACAGAGAGAGAGAGAGAGAGAGAGAGGGAGAGAGAGAGAGAGAGGTTTGTTTTGAGGAATTGGCTTGTGTGATTATGGAGCCTAGCCACTTTGGCAGTCTGGAGCCCCAGGAAGAGTCAGTGTTGCAGTTCAAGTCCGAAGGCCATCTGCCGGCAGAATTCCTTCTTGCTCTGGTGAGGTCTGTTTTTTGTTCTAGTCAGGCCTTCAACTGATTGGATGAGGCCCACCCACATTATGGAAGGCAATCTGCTTTACTCAAAGCCCACTGTTTTAAATGTAAATATCATCCAAAAACACTGTAACAGACACATCTGAAATAATATTTAACTAAATATCAGTATTGTGGGCTAGACAAGTTGACACATAGAATTAATCATCAGAAGTCTATGTCAACTTGACATGCATATGTATCTGCTTAAACCATATTCAATCTCCAAACCAAGACAACTAAAGGTCATACTTCTGCCTAACAGGATAAACCCCTGCATACAACTGAAAGTGCACTAATCCTTTCCCCAGAAGATGAAAAGTCTTTAGGTGATGTTTGCTCTTCTGCTTGATGTGCCATAACTTAAATGCTATGATGTAAAGTTAACCATACTTAAATACTATGACATAAAGTCAAACACACTGTACGTTACATGATGAGGGATAAGAGAGGGAAAAAATATTTCCAAAACATATTCATAACCAAACAAGGAAAAAATACTCAAGTACAGTCCTTATTTCTATCACTGGTCATGTAGTCATAGGTAGTACTTATTACTATCTTCTTCCACTACCCATTCCATATTCCTGTTGCCCTCAGCACACACTTCAGCTGGCTGTGGATCTTAACCTGGTGGGGCTACCCAAATTTTTACTCCTAAAAGGGCTTGGCCGTGAGTAGTCCTACCTGATTGGTTGTTGTAGTTTTCCATTCTGTAATCATAGGGCATTCACAGTGTTGGGGAACCACCACCTATATAGTTTTCTATTGCTTTAGCTCTCACATTTAGGTCTTTGATCCAAGTGGAGTTAATTTTTGTATATGATGTGAGGTAGGGGTCCAACTTCATTCTTTTGCATGTGGATACCAAATTCAGTATATAGAAGGCCTTTATGGTAGGAAATACTTGGGCAGACACCGGAAGGAATGTGAAAAAAGCAATGTTGATGGCTACCAGGCAGAGGGGACAGCAAGTGGAGATCCAGGCTCAGACAAATGCCAAAAAATAATAAAGGAATGAATAAGGTGTTTCTGCTAGACCACAGTATAGGTATTTCTGAAAATTCTTGTGTTGTACTGCAGACAAAAAATAAACAGAGGTATTGGAATAATAGGATTGTAACAGACCATTCAAAACATAAGGAGCTTTGGAACCAGAACACTAATGAAAACCACAATCCTAATGAAAAATAACAGCAAAGTTAAAAGGGCATAATAAATTGTTAAAAACATAAGTACATATGTGCATATTTATACATACATACTATAGTAAACTGAGAACTTGACCTTTTAAGAAAGATGAAAGTATGTTGGAGGGAAAGGATGTGATGAAGGGTTGATGCCACTGAGTTATGAAGACCCAACAGAAGTGTTTGTGAGAGATCAAGGGGCCACACTAAGCTGAGAGAGACTGAGTCAAAGCTACAACAGGCACAGCCCCATATTTTCAAGTTGTACTCTCTCAGCTGTGTTGTTTTGCCTGCATTCAGATCCTCTTACTTTGAGTGTAAAATATTAATATGCTGGGGGGAAAATCCCACACAAACCAAGACACTTTCCACATATCATCAAACTAATCCACAATACAGAAACATGTGCTGCAACAAAATATATTTTTTTCACAAACAATTTCAGAATAGAAGAAAAGAAAACATTTGACAATGCCTTTCGTGAGGCTAATACTTAGTACAAGAAATAAAATTTACAGGTCAAACTAAGGAATATAGATACAAAAATCCTAGTCCAATATTTGCAAACTGAAATACATACAATGTCATAACCAAGTCTGGTTTGTCCCAGAAATGCACTTTAGCAGATTAATGACTTAGGAAATCTATTAATGTAATTCACCGCATTAACAGATTAAAGGAAAAACATGATTATCTAAATGGATGCAGAAAAAGCATTTGATAACATCTAATATTCATTCATAATTGTAAATGTTTCATAATCTAAGGATCTTCTTTAAACTGATGAAGTTATCTACTAAAAGCCTACAGAAAATATTGCACTCCATGATGAATTATTTGAAGTATCTACTTCCTTTAAAATCAGAGCAAGACAATAATTCCAATTATCATTCCCTCTAGGGGGCACTAGTCAGTGCAAGAAAAAAAGACATAAAACGACTGATTTGGAAAATACACAGCTTTCATCATTTGCAGGTGATATGATTGCTTACTATGTCAGGGTTCTCCAAAGACACAGAGAATAGATAAATAGATAGATAGATGATAGATAGATAGATAGATAGATAGATAGATAGATAGATAGAATAGATAGATGTAACATACAGAGTTATGTAAGTACATATTTATTATATAGACAGATATATTATACAGATTTATTAGAAGGAATTGGCTTATGCAGTTATGAAGGATGAAAGGTTCCAAGATCTACAGTTGGCAAGTTGGAGACCCAGGAGAGCCGTAGTGTAGTTTCAGTCTGAGTCCAGATAGCTGAGAATCTGGAGAGCCCATGGTGTAAGTTTCAGTCCAGCCAGTAGCCTTGAGACCCATGCAAGGCTGATGTTTCAGTTTGAGTCCAAAACCAGAAAAAACTGATGTCCCAGCTCAAGGCAGTCAAGGCAAGAGGAGTTCCTTCTTACTCGGGAGAAGGTCAACATTTGTGTTCTGTTCAGAGCTTCAATTGATTGGCTAAGACCCACTTACACTGCATTAAACCAATCTGCTTCACTCAGTCTACTGATTCAAATGTTAGCTCATCTGGAAATGCCCTCACAGACACACTCAGAATACTGTCTGACCAAATGTCTGGGCACCCCACGGACCAGTCAAGTTGATACATAAAATTAATCATGATACCTACATAGAAAATAATATATAAATATAAGAGCAATTCTAAAATCATTTGCCTTTTATACACCAGGCACAAAAAGTTAGAAAACGTAATCTTAAAAAAGATTACATTTATAAGAGCTACAAAAATATATAGAATAACTAGGAATTATCTAAACAAAGGTGGGCAAAAATCTTTAAGGAAACTCTTAAGACACTTTATTTAAAGACTTAAAGAAGAACTAGATAAATTAGGTGGTTAAAATGTCCATGGATAGGAAGACTCAGTCATATGAAGATTCTGCTGCTTTTCAAATTGATCTACAGATTCAATGTAGCCCCAAACTATATCCCAAAGGCGTTCACAGGGAAACATGCTGATTCTAAAATATATGTAGAAAATCAAAGGACTAAAGATAATCAGGTGCCTCTTCAAGGATAAAACAAGATGATGTATCAAGATGTATCACAAAGCTATATTAATTTATAAGCAATAATGGTGCAGATTTAGACATATAGATGAACTGTATAGAATAGAGAGTCCTTAAAATAAGTTACACATATACATAGAAAATTTATTAATGGAAATCCATATATATGGAAAACTGACATTTCAAATTATAGGGAAAAGGACAAATTATCAATAAAAGATTTTGAGTAATTTAGGTAACCATAATGAAAAAGAATGAAATTGGATCCCTACCTCATACCATACATAAAATTAATTCTAGATGGATAAAGACAAATCTTAGAAGAAAATTAAAAGATTTTTCAATGTATGAGAATATGTTCTTTGAACTAAGTATAGTGATTGTTAAATATGGTTAAAGAAACACTAAACATTGTAGCCCAAAAGGAAAAGAATTACTAAATTGCCTATAAAACTACAAACTTTTGTTCACCAAAATACACCATAAAGGGAATGAAAATTGTTGCCACGAACTGCCAGAAGACATCTGCAATGCAGGTAATTGACAAATAATCAATATGCATAATAGGTATAAGACATGCATCAGTGAGAAAGACACAAACAACACAATGGAAACATTGTCAGAACACTTCAGGGCACTTCACAAAAGAAGAAACTCAAACTGACCGTAAACAAAGGAGAAGTTCAACTTCCTTAACAATCAATAAAATTAAAATTAAAACATCAATGAGGAGTTACCATTTAATTGTTTTGTTCCACCTGATTGAATTGTGAAGAACTCTCATAAAACATTTTTACTCTAAATTAGTTTAATCACATCATAGTTTGGCATTATATTGTCAAGTTGAAGATGCTGTGAAAGGAAAATAAATCTTGGGGCCCCAAAATCACTCAGCTAAAGGCAAAAGTCAAGCTGGGAACTGTTTAGAGCAAACCTGCCTCCCATTCTGTTCAAAGTTATCCTTCTGCTCACTGAGATAAATGCATATGTGATTGCCTCCTTTGGAAAGGCTAATCAGAAACTCAAGAGAATGCAGCCCTGCATGGTGGCTCACGCCTATAATCCCAGCACATTGGGAGGCTGAGGCGGACCACTTGAGGTCAGGAGTTCGAGACCAGCCTGGCCAACATGGCAAAACTCCATCTCTACTAAAAATACAAAAATTAGCCTGGTGCGGTGGCAAGCACCCGTAATCCCAGCTACTCAGGAGGCTGAGTCAGGAGAATTGCTTGAACCTAGGAGGCAGAGGTTGCAATGAGCCGAGATCATGCCACTACACTCTAGACTGGGCAACAGAGTGAGACTCCACCTCAGAACAAACAAACAAACAAAAAAGAAACTGAAAAGAATGGAACCCTTTGTCTCTCACCTACCTATAACCCAGAAGCCCCCTCCCTGCTTGAGTTGTCCCATCTTTCTGGATGGAACCAATGTATATCTTACATATATTGATTGATGTCTCATGTATCCCTAAAATGTATAAAACCAAGCTGCGCCCTGACCACGTCAGGCACATGTTGTCAGGACCTCCTGAGGCACACATCCTCAACCTTGACAAAATAAACTTTCTAAATTAACGGAGAACTGTCTCAGATATTTGGGGTTCACAATGCATATACCCAAAGCCCTGCAATTCCACTTCTGCAAATGCCACCCCCCAAAAAAATTTCTCATTATATGGACACCAGGATTCAATGAGTGTTGTTTGTGGAAAAAACTCACAATGACCACTGACAGAATAATGAATAAATAAATTGTTGTATAGTTGCACAATGTATACTAAAGAACAATCAAAATTAAGAATTTCAGTGACATCTATCAAAATAGTTGAATCTTACAAACACAATGATGAGCAAAACAGCAAGCTGCAGAAAATTAGACAGATATTTTATGGATACATATTTGGAAATTTTATTTTTTAAGAATCAGTGGAATGACAAAAATCCAGGAGGATGGTTACCACTGGTGGTGGTGGAGAATGGGGACAATAATAAGCAATAATGAAAATAATAATAAGATGATAATGCCTAATACATATTTAGTGTTTGCTATTTGCCACTGTCCGAAGTGCTTTTGATGCAGGATTTTTGCTCCATAGCTTAGCTAAGTCTGGGTTTTTGTCTCACAACCAGGAAGAATTAAGCATGCAGACAGTCAAAGAGTGAGTCAGGTGGGGAGTTTTACTGAGCGCTGAAACAGCTTTTAATGGGGAGGTAACATGGGGGTGGTCCCCCTACCTGAAGGCAGGAATGTTCCCCATATGGCTGAGCCTGGGGCTTTTTATTGGCTCAGAATAGGGAGCACGTGCTGATTGGTTTGTGAGTATGCACAAAAGGTTAAAGTGAAGATACTACTCAAAGGTGGGCATGATAGTGTAGAAAACCAATTAGAAAAGGGTAGGGATATGTAAAACAGGTGAAGGATGGGGATCAATCAGAGGAAGGCGTGCCAAATGGGAAGCAGGATTCTCAATTCAGTCCAAGGATTTACCCAGGACTGGTTACTCCGGGAACCTGCCCCTCTCTGCCTTCTGCCTCTATCACTTTTATATTTTCTACCTCGGTTAATCTTCACAACAAGCCTCTAAGCAGTTACTTGTACTTTTTCTATTGGTGAAAAAGAAACTGATTTATCGTTCTCAAGCATTGCATCGAATGTTTCCTAATTAAAAAATAATAAACCACAGAGTAAACAGTGTCAATATTTAATACATGAAAGCAGAAAAAAGGCAGCATAATTGTTGTTGTTGTTTCTTAATTTGGAAATAAGGATGTAAATTCCAGAAGAAACAAATAAGCTTGAAAGACGTACCTTCTTGCTGTGGTAGCCTCTTTGGGGAGGAGTGGTACAAGGGCCTGCTGTTTGATAATGGAACTTTCCCTTACCAATTGGTGTATATACTACGTGCATGCGTTTCTTTGATATAGATAATTCACTGAAAAATATAGCTAGAATAAAATGCCAGACAGAGCTGGTCTCTGGATGGGCAAGTTCTTTTTCTATACTTTCCTCAATTGAATAAATGACACAGAAGATATTGTTATGAATGAATTACAAAGGCATTTAAATTTCAGCATGTCATGAAAGATTGTAAGAAAAATTAAAAACTAGTATAATATTTGTAACAAAAAGATAACAAATATCGAAAGAAAACACTAAGTCTTTGTTATAGAATAAAGGAAAAAAGGTAATATTATGGCTTTCTTACAAATATAAAATGGACAGATGGCAAGATTTTTATCTAACTAATGAGGGAATCAGTAAGATTTTTAAAATCAGTTCAAAGGAAAACTCGAAGAACCGCACATATATAAGCTGAAATGAATTTACAAATAGATGCACAAAGGTTCTATTCATAGGGCAACAAGATATTTTACAGCATCTTAACAAAAAAACAATACATTTGTAGAGAAGTGGCAATTGCATTCTACCAGGCACAATCAATCTGCATTTCTATAAACAAGAGCAGTTGCATAATTAGAAGTTTTCTGGCCGGGCGCAGTGGCTCACGCCTGTAATCCCAGCACTTTGGGAGGCCAAAAAGGGCGGATCACGAGGTCAGGAGATCGAGACCATTCTGGCTAACACAGTGAAACCCCATCTCTACTAAAAATACAAAAAATTAGCCGGGTTTGGCAGCAGGCGCCTGTAGTCCCAGCTACTTGGGAGGCTGAGGCAGGAGAATGGCGTGAACCCAGGAGGCGGAGATCGCAGTGAGCCGAGATCGCACCACTGCACTCCAGCGTGGGTGACAGAGCGATACTCCATCTCAAAAAAAAAAAAAAAGAAAAAAAAAAGAAGTTTTCTACAATTTCCAGGGTTGTAAATAGCTTAAAGACAATAAAAGGTTGAGGTAGTCCCTGAGGGCTTTCCAGGCCGGATATCCAGTAAATTTTTTGGTCCATATTAAAGTTTTTCTCATTTTTTCCCTACAACCTCAAGACATAATTGGGAAAAGAAAGAATAATTTTTTAAATAAATAAATAAATGAAAATAAGCATATGAGATAATGTTTTATAAATCAAAGAAATGCTAATTATACTATAAAATATTCATACACATATAATACTTGTTTAAAATTACAGTAACACCTCACATTGTGCCAAATCTCATTTTTATTTTTATTTTATTTATTTATTTATTTTTTGTTTTTGAGACGGAGTCTCCCTCTGTTGCCCAGGCTGGAGGACAGTGGCGCAATCTTGGCTCACTGCAACTTCTACCTCCCAGGTTCAAGCGATCCCCTGCCTCAGCCTCCCGAGTAGCTGGGACTATAGGCACATGACACCACGCCCAGCTAATTTTTTGTATTTTAGTAGAGACAGGAGTTCACCATGTTGGCTAGGATGGTCTTGATCCCTGACCTCGTGATCCGCCCACCTCGGCCTTCCAAAGTGCTGGGATTACAGATGTGAGCCACTGCACCCAGCCATCATTTTTAATAAAAATTGAATTTTAGAATAGTTTCCAATTTATAGAAAAGTTACAAAAAGTGTACAGTCACCTTATAACCCATACTCATATTATGAACATCTTACATCAATCTAGTGCATTTCACACTGCAGGGGAGGAGAAATTTTTCCCTCTGCCCTCCTGGGTTCTCCAGCTGGGGCCCTGCAAATTAGACAGACAAAAGACAAATTCGGCCAGGTGCGGTGGCTCATGCCTGTAATCCCAGCACTTTGGGAGGCCGAGGTGGGCAGATCACCTGAGGTCAGCAGTTTGAGAACAGCCTGACCAACGTGGTGAAACCCTGTCTCTACTAAGAATACAAAAATTAGCTGGATATGTTGGTGCGTGCCTGTAGTCCCAGCTACTCGGGAGGCTGAGGCTGGAGAATTGCTCGAACCTGGGAGGCGGAAGTTGCAGTGACCCGAGATTGCACCACTGCACTCCAGCCTGGGTGGCAGAGTGAGACTTCATCTCAAAAAAAAAAAAAAGACAAATTCCCAAGAGAAAAACAACAGGAGTTTATTAACACGTGCACTGCACGCACACGAGCGAAGTCAGCGACGGTCACTCAAGGGGGTGGTTAGAACTTGAGCTTATGCAGCTTCTTCAAAAAAGAACAACACATTTGTAGAAAAGTGGCAAGACAAAGGAAAAGGGCTTTAGGCTTCCAGGAGCAGCAGACTCTGAGAAGGTAAATATTTGGAGGAAACCAATGGAGTAAGGTTTCTCTGTGCAGGTTGTCAACCAAAACGTATGTGAGACAGGTCTCAATCAATTTAGAAGTTTTATATTGCCTAGGTTAAGGACATGCCTGGAAGAAATAAATATGGAATAAATAGTCTGTGGTCTGTGTCTTTCTCCAGATGATTTTGAGGCCTTGAATATTTAAGAAGGAAAAGTGGGCTGGAGGGGAAAGAGGGAGGATATGGTCATATTACTGAATCCACATGTTGCAAGAGAAAAGGAGCAGGCAGGGGAGTCTCAGTCAATCATGTGTTTGTCTCGAGCTCAGTACATCCGCACCTTACATGACATAAGGTGAGCGTGGAGGAGTAACCCGTGGACATAGTTAACCTTTTCTCTGTAACTGTCTGTAACTGTCTCCTTAGGAACAAAAGGGAGGCATGACTCAGCTCTCAGCTGAATTTGTTTTTCTTTTGGCATATAGTGAATCAGGTCCCAAGTTTTTCTTTTCCTTTCGCATCGTCCATCTCAGAGTCGACTTTCCAGTCTTCTTCATGGCCAGAAAACTTCCCTGGGAGAGGGGATTTGTGTCAGTCTTCCCTTCTCAGAACTGTCTGCATCTGTTAATTCTCATTTGCCTCCAGCTCAAAACAACCCTTATGCTAAAGTGGCATATTTTGGGGTGGCATCTTCTGGTCTCCCACAAGACAATGAATGAACCAATATCGCTAAATTATTATTAACTGAAGTCTGTGCTTTATTACTCACCTCTCTTTAGTATTTGTCTGATGTCCTTTTTCTGTTCCAGAGTCCCATCAAGGCTGCCACATTCCATTTAGTTATTGTGTCTCCTTAAGCTCCTGCTGGTTGGGACAGTTTGTCAAGAGTCTCCGTGTTTTTGATCACCTTGACAGTTTAAGGAGTCCTGGTCAGGTAGCTTGTAGAAGGACCCTCTATTGTGACTGTCTGATGTTTTTCTCATTATCAGGCTGGAGTTATGAATTTTTGGAAGAAAGACTGTGGAGGTAAAGCGTCGTTTTCATCAGCAGGACTTTAACTGCTGATGTTAACCTTAGTCACTCGACTGAGGAAGCGCTCGTCATGTTGCTACACTCTAAAATTACTCCTTTTTCTTCTTTTCACCTTGTGCTAATAAGGAGGTCATTATGCACAGCCCACTCTAAGGAATGGAGACTTCTGTTCACCTCCTGGAGGGTAGAGTATTTGCATTAACTATTTTAAATTCCCTCTCTCTCTTTTTGTTTTATTTTGTTTTGTTTTGAGACAGAATCTCTGTCGCCTAGGCTGGAGTGCAGTGGCAAGATCTCGGCTCACTGCAACCTCTGCCTCCTGGGTTCAGGCGATTCTCGTGCCTCAGTCTCCTGAGTAGCTGGGATTACAGGTGAGCGCCACCATGCTCAGCTAATTTTTGTATTTTTTGTAGAGACGGGGTTTCATCATGCTGGCCAGGCTGGTCTCGAACTCCTGGCCTCAAGTGATCCTCCTACCTTGGTCTCCCAAAGTGCTGGGATTACAGGCGTGAGCCAGGGCTCCCCGCCTTAAATTATTTTGCATGAGAGATTTGCCTGTCCTCTCCTATTTATTTATTTATTTATTTATTTATTTATTTATTACACTGCTCATTTATGCTGCTGGAGACTCCCATATATGGATTGTGTACTTTGGGTTGTAACCCAACATTATTTTATTGCTCAAATTGTTCCACCTTTGCTCATGAGGAGCCCTCTCATTTGGCTCCTTGGTCCCTTGATACATCCCCATCACTTGTTTTTGTTGTTGTTATTTTGAGAACTTCTTTGCTTTCTGACATTACCAATTGTTCCTGGCTCACCTTGTACATATCCTGTCTCTGTTTTAGAATCTATTTCTCCAAGGAGCTGTGGTTCCTTTTATCGGAAAATGGTATTGGAAAACAAGATCTGTGCCCTAGGTTTGCTTATTGCTACTGGATCATCTTTGCTTTTAGGTCCTGTCAGCTAACAGAGCAAGAACATATTTGTGTATGTGAACCTATGTATACACACCTGTCTAGAAACATTTCTATGTTGTGACTTGTACCTACAATAAGCTCAACAGGAGTTCATGCTGATGTCTCCAACTCTAATCCATTACCACATCCACTATCCTTTTAGTATCCTCACCTTTGTCACATTGGCAGTCTCTTTTGCTGTATAAGGTAATATTCACAGGTTCCTAATCTAGGGATTAGGAGCTGGACATATTTGAGGGGATCTTTTTCCAACCTACTACAGTAGGTGCTAAGTGGTATCTCACTGGAGTTTGAATTCACATTTCCTTAATGACTAATAATGTCATGCAACTTTGTGTGAGCTTATTTGCTATTCTTGTATGTTCTTTAGTGAAGTGTATGATCAAATCTTTTGCCCACTTTTAATATTAGGTTTGGGGCTGGGCACAGTGGTTCACGCCTGTAATTCTAGCACTTTGGGAGGCCGAGGTGGATCACTTGAGATCAGGAGTTTGAGACCAACCTGGTCAACATGGCGAAACCCCGTCTCTACTAAAAATACAAACATTAGCCAGGCGTAGTGGTGTGCACCTGTCATCCAGCTACTCGGGAGGCTGCGGTACAAGAATTGCTTGAACTGGGTAGGCAGAGGTTGCAGTGAGCTGAGATCTTGCCATTGCACTCCAGCCTGGGCCACAGAGCAAGATTCTGTCTAAAAAAAAAAAAAAAAAAAAAAAAATTAGGTTGTTTGGGTTTTTTTTTTTTATTACAGAGTTTTAAGAGTTCTTTATGTATTCTGGATACAAGACCTTTATCAGATCTATGCTTTCCAAATATTTCTCCCAATCTGTGGCTTGTCTTTCCATTTTCTTAAGAGCGTCTTTGATAAGCAGGTTTTAATTTACAGGAAGTCCAAGTTGACTTTTTTTTCATTTGTGGATCATGCTTTTGATGTTGCATTCAAGAAACCTTTGCTTAACACAAGGCCACAAAGATTTTCTCTTATTTATTTTTTTCTAGCACTTTGGGAGCCCAAGGCAGGCAGATCACGAGGTCAGGAATTTGAGACCAGCTTGGCCAACATGGCGAAACCCCATCTCTACTAAAAATACCAAAAATTAGCCAGGCATAGTGGCGGGCGCCTGCAATCCCAGCTACTCAGGAGGCTGAGACAGGAGAATCGCTTGAACCTGGAGGCAGAGGTTATAGTGAGCCAAGATTGTGCCATTGCACTTCAGCCTGGGCAACAAGAGCGAAACTCCATCTCAAAAAAATAAACAAAAAATAAAAAATTAACCGGGAATGGTGGTGCACGCCTGTATTCCCAGCTATTCGGGAGGCTTAAGCAGGAGAATCGCTTGAACCCAGGAGGTAGAGGTTGCAGTGAGAGAAGATTGCGCCACCGCACTCCAGCCTGGGGCGACAGAGCTAGACTGTCTCAAAAAAATAAAAAATAAATAAAAAAGTATAGTCTTAGTGTAGGGTTTTGTAGACAAGTTCTTTTGCATTTGTAGCTTGGTGACAGATTTTTTTATTGGGAATGCATGTTGGATTTTCCAGTGCCTTTTCTGGGCTTTGACCTGAAGACTCTGTCGAAGCAGTAAGATGGGACAGTTGAAGGACTCACCTCATTTGTTTTTGACTCTCTGGAACCAATGTCCTTTATTGCCTGATGTCTCATGTTACATGTTGTCTCTTGGTGGTGTTGTTAGTGTGTATATAAGGTGAGACAGTAATTCCAGTCTTTTTTACTCTATCTTGGCCAGAAATAGTAAACAGATTTTTATGGCATTTGCTACTTTTTTTTTTTTTTTTGGAGACCGCTCTGTCGCCCAGGCTGGAGTACAATGGCACTATCTCGGCTCACTGCAAGCTCCACCTCCTGGGTTCACGCCATTCTCCTGCCTCAGCCTCCCGAGTAGCTGGGACTACAGGCGCTGCCACCACACCCGGCTAATTCTTTGTATTTTTAGTAGAGACGGGGTTTCACCGTGTTAGCCGGGATGTTCTCAATCTCCTGACCTCGTGATCCACCCATCTCGGCCTCCCAAAGTGCTGGGATTACAGTCGTGAGCCACGGGGGCAGCCGGCATTTGATACATTTTAATCCACTGTAGCCAGTATTCTTTTTGGTGATCATTTCTTCCATCTTTGTCCAACAGAACCCCTTCAGCTTGGTTCTTGTGCCCTTTTGACAGGACCCTTATGATAGCTTTCCTGCTTTCAGCCACCATGCCTATCTTGGGCCTTCCCTGCTTTGGATTTATCAGAAGCCTTTTGTGTTAAATGCTAATCTAGAGACCATCACTTGGCAGCTAATTACTACTGGATTATCATTCCTTCCAGGCTTTGCAGTGAATAGGAACAGGGAATTTTTTTCTTTTTTTAGAAAGAACCAAAAATCAATTGTTGATATTTTCAATTCAAATATTAACTAATAGGCTTTTCACTTAACTACTAATACATTTTATTTGTATTTCTTCTTGCTTACTCTGAAAATCTTGGCTATTGACATTAATGTAATTGTTTATTTGCTTTATCCTGCAATATGTATATACATTTGAACTTATCAATATAATATTTTTGGCTGGATGCAGTGGCTCATGCTGCTAATCCCAGCACTTTGGGAGGCTGAGGCAGGCAGATCATGAGGTCAGAAGTTTGAGACCAGCCTGGGCAACATGGCGAAATCTCATCTCTACTAAAAATACAAAAATTAGCCAGGTGTGGTGGCACATGACTGTAATCCCAGCTACTCAGGAGGCTGAGGCAGGACCAGGGAGGTGAAGGTTGTAGTGAGCTGAGATTGCGCCACTGCACTCCAGCCTGGGTGACAGAGCAAGACTCTGTCTCGAAACAAAACAAAACAAAACAAAACAAAACAAAAAAAAACTTTTATTATTAGTGAGGATATCAAGTGTAGCTTAAGATTACTCTAGGGCTGGTTACAAAGTCATATATCAGATCTCTATTTGCCCATTGCTTTCTTATAAATATTTTAACGTACATATTTAAACATAAAAAATGATATCCATCTAAAATTAATTGTTATCTATGTCTATTCCCCTGAATAAGACAAGAACCTTAGCATGCCATCGCATCTTCTATTCCTTCACTGTCACTCTCTTTTGTGATCATCTGGGTTTTTCATCCTGTTATTAAATTACCTTCAAAATGCCTTAAGAATCATTTTGACTCAGATACATTTTACTTGTTGATTTACTTACTACAGTATCTTGTAATCCATGCAAGTTTTACTTTCTTCGATTCTTCTTTTTTCTTTTCTTTTTTTTTTTTTTTTTTGAGACGGAGTCTCGCTGTCGCCCAGGCTGGAGTGCAGTGGTGCGATCTGGGCTCACTGCAGGCTCCGCCCCCCGGGGTTCACGCCATTCTCCTGCCTCAGCCTCCCAAGTAGCTGGGACTACAGGCGCCCGCCACCACGCCCGGCTCATTTGTTTGTATTTTTAGTAGAGACGGGGTTTCACCGTGTTAGCCAGGATGGTCTCGATCTCCTGACCTCGTGATCTGCCCGCCTCGGCCTCCCAAAGTGTTGGTGTTACAGGCGTGAGCCACCGCGCTCGGCTAATTTTTTATATTGTTAGTAGAGATGGGGTTTCACTGTGTTAGCCAGGATGGTCTCGATCTCCTGACCTCGAGATCTGCCCACCTCGGCCTCCCAAACTGCTGGTATTACAGGCGTGAGCCACCGCACCCGGCCTTTTTTTTTTGGGGGGGGGGGGACAGGTCTCCCTGTGTGGCCCAGGCTGGAGTGCAGTCGTGAAATTTCGGCTCACTGCTATCTCTGCCTCCCTGGCTCAAGTGATTCACCCACCTCAGCACCCCACCCCAACCCCTAGTAGCTGGGACCATAGGCGTGCGCCACGATGCCCGGCTAATTTTGTTTTTGTGGTTTTTTTTTTTTTGGAGGGGGGTGGGGAGACATGGAGTTTCACTACGTTGCCCAGACTGGTCTCGCGCTCCCGAGCTCAAGCCATCTGCCCACTTTGGCCTCTGAAAGTGTTGGGACTACAGGTGTGAGCCACTGCGCCCGGCGGGATTCTTCTTTTTTTAAATGAGTTACATTCATTACTAATTCTAGCAGAGATACTCTATGAATTGGAATCTATGTAAATACATTCATCCTCCAAATGCCTTTGCTTCACTCACAATCCAATGCAAGATTGGAAGGTTATAGTATTCTACAGAATCTATAGTACTCTATTTAAATTCCAAATCATTTTCTGTTTGAAATCTGAGGACATTGCTCCACACCATCTTCTAGAACCCGTGTTGCTGAGAAGCCTGATGTCAGCTGCACTTTCTTTGGTTCGTCTAGAGTAGTGGACTTTCTTGGTTACCTAATATCCTCTCGCCTTCCTAATTCTCAACAGAACCTAGATTTTGTTTACATATCCACATCACATCCAGCTCCTGAGGATCAGGGTGGAGAAAAGGAAGAAACGTGTTTGTTTGTTTTTTTCTGAGAGTGTCGCTCTGTCCCCCAGGCTGGAGTGCAGTGGCGCGATCTCAGCTCACTGCAACCTCCGCCTCCCGGGTTCAAGCAACTGCCCTGCCTCAGCCTCCCAAATAGCTGGGATTACAGGCTTGAGCCACCACCCCCGGCCAAAACCTGGTTTTTGCTGACATCATAGAACCACCGATTCTTCTCTAGCCGGAGTCTGCCCCAGTGATTTCTTGCTATTCCTTATTCATTTCAGCCAACTTGAGCAGTTCCATCTTCTGTGACTTGTAGCAAATAACACATGCCAACCTTTTATTCCGTCTTTTCTGGCCACTTTTAGGGGTTCCTATTTATCCTCAGAGTTGTGATATTTCATCGAGGATGTATTTTTTATGGGCCATCCCTACCCTAGCTCATTCATTATGCCAAACTCCCTACATTTTATTTACTCTGAAGACTCAGGGCTTCCTCAGCTTGAATGTGTTTTCTGCTATATCTCTATCACTATTTCTGTATGTAATCAATCTGTTATTATTCCCCCTCCCCATTTTCTCTGCTTTCTTCTGAATCTTTTTATTAGATTTTGGGTATCAGAGCACTTGTCTCCTGCATGTCTTCCAAATGTTTCCTCAATTTCTGGTGTTCTGATGGTATTTTTCTAGAGTTGCATTAGATTTGCTCCTTTGAAAATTATATGTGTTTGGGGTTACTTTGAAGAATATGAAGAGAAAAAGGGAGGTAATCATGGGTACTCAGTCTGGCACCTTTTACTTTGTAAATCTCAATGCTATGTTGTTTTGTCAATAATGGTCTATAACTGTCATATCTTTATTATTATTATTTTAAAATAATAATTAAATATAGAAATAACATATGGTCCAGAAATGGAATTGCCCATGTGTTAATTCTACATTTAATTTTTTTTTGAGGAACTGCCATACCGTTTTCCAGCGCAGCGCTACCATTTTACATTCCCACCATTAAGGCACAAGGATTGTTTTCTGGTTTTCTTTTTTTTCCAAATTTTATAATAGCCAACCTAATGAGTGTGAAATCGCAGTGGATGTTTGATCTGCTTTGATCTGCATTCCCCTAATGATTAGTGATGTGCATTATTATCTTTTAACAATATAAAACATCCATTTTGTTCGATTTAATTATTTTTACATTGCAATAATCTTTGTATTGTTGTAACATCGTGATCCAAGATTTCTTTTTCATATTATCTACCTGATATCTCTTAGTCCCTCTCTGCATTTTCTATCTTCAAGTACCCTTTGTGTTTAGGTTTGTCTCTGTAAACGCTAATGTTTGATATTTTAAAAATCAACACTTTCTGAGCACATAGTATTTGGCGTGTACAGTGCCGGTCACCGAGGATGCAGTTGTGATGATAGCGCTGGGAGTTGGGCTTTATTTTACGTTTTAAAGAAGTCACTTCAAAAGAAGTGAGTGCCATGAAGAGGGAAATACTAGGCTTATGCTTTTGTTTTACTCTGAGTGCCAGTAAATATGTAAAGATTACAAAAATTTATTTATTTATTTATTTATTTATTTGAGACAGAGTCTTGCTCTGTCACCCAGGCTGGAGTGCAATGGCGCGATCTGAGCTCACCGCAACCTTCGCCTCCCAGGTTCAAGCGATTCTCCTGCCTCAGCCTCCCGAATAGCTGGGATTACAGGCATGTGCCACCACGCCCGACTAATTTTTCGTGTTTTCGTAGAGACAGGGTTGCACCATGTTGGCCAAGATGGTCTCGGTCTCCTGACCTTGTGATCCGCCCACCTCGGCCTCCCAAAGTGCTGCGATTACAGGCATAAGCCACCGCGCCCGGCCGAGATTATAAAATTTAGACATAATTCATTTTTAATTAAAATCGCAGAATGGACTGTAATAGTTCTGTCACCACCTGCGAATAATCAGCAGCGGCTAGTCTTCCAGATTTAAAAATTCATACTCACTTTTCCGTCTTACTATTTTTGTCATTCTAATTACGAATACAATGGGTGGTTTAGCGGAGGGAGAGTAGTTGGAGCCCAAGCTGAGGGACTCGGCTTCAGCCTTCTCGAACTCCACAGCCCGACCGCGTTCTCCGCTCTCGGCGCTGTGGTTCTCTCTCGGACACCGTAAGTGGTGGTGCCGCAGCGACGTCTGGGAAATGAAGTCCGGAGGGACAAACGCTGCGGTTCAGCCAGGGAAACCCGTCGGCTCTCCGGCGCGCAGGCGCAGTTGCGCCCGGCAGCGACGGGAAACGTCTCTGAATTAGGTGTTCCGCTCGCCTCTTGTGCGGTGTGGAGCTGCGCGCCCCCCGCCGAGGCGGGCCCAGGTACAGGCTGCCGGTGAGGGCGGGCCCGGGGCGTGCGGCTGCCGCGGCGGGACCAGGACGAGGGCTGGCCTCTGCGCGTGTCTGCCGAGTCCCCGGCTCCGGGCGTCCGAGCCGGGGCGGCCTCGGCAGGTGAACCCGGCCCCGGAGGGGGCGTGGCCTGGGAAGGGCCTGGCGGAGGCCGGGAGGGCGCTTCGACGCCGCTGGACTCCTGGGCCGCAGCCTGGGCCGGACTCCGGGGGAAACGGCTCCAGAACAGAAACTGCAAAATGCCGCCTCGGTTCAGGGTCCGGAGCCCTCCGGGCGGTTTTTCGCTCTTAGTGTTTGTGGGTTTAAGCCTCCCCCTACTCCGTTTCCCGGAGTTTAAACTTTAGATTTACTCGTTTTTGGCAGTCTTGCACGTTTGGCAGTGTTTTCCTACAGCCAGTCCTAGAGTGATTTAACTATTTCTTTTTTTATTTACCGTAACCATGTCCACTTGCTACGTTTCTTCCCATTTCTCTAAATTTTAAATCAATTTCTAGCTAGTGATGCTGTTTTCTTGCGCCCTTGTTTTTTTGGGGCCAGGGAGAATGGGTAACGCTACCTTTAAGCAGCTTTGATAACTGTTTTTGATAAAGGAAGTAAATCTTACAAGAGGAAGAAAAGAGGACTAATTTTTGGTTGGCTGTTCCTAAAAAAGAGCATCAGTTCTTCAACTGCTGTTTTTCGTATTGAACAACATCCAAGTGCAGATGTGTGGAATATTGTGTCATTTCCTATTACTTTATCTGAATGAGCCTTGCCTGATTCTGCCCTTGACCCTGTTAAGGCACGGCAGATGGTCTTCATCCCTTCGCTCCTTTCGTCTTTATCGTAAAGCACTGGCAGAAAGGTAGCAGGCCCGGTGACTCTGAACCTGCTTCCCACACTGGTTTAAGTGGCCGGACTTAGGGCCCCTCTGGCCTGGGCAGTTCCAGGCTCCTTCTCTGCAGGTGCTCAGCTTATGGCTTCTAACCTGGTCTGGCCTAATGAGGGTGGGCATGCAGGCTGGATGAAAAGACCTCACAGCTTTTTTCTCCATTCCAGGTGCCTTCTCCAAGAGAGGCAGCAGGGAGGGAGAAATGGCAAGGAGGTTGCTGCCAGCCCATGTACAGGTGAGTGAAGGCTTCTTTTTGCTTGAACTGCCTTCAGGGTCTAGACGTGGTAAACTTCTTCATCTGTTGTTGAGCTTCTCTACCCAGTGAAGCTCAGGGAAGGACCAGAGGGCTTGGTAGCTGAGAAACTCTGGAAGGAAGGTGTTTCCCTTGCCTCAGAGCCTGTCTCATGCTTTTTTTTTTTTTTCTTTCCCTTTTTTGAGACAGGGTCTCACTCTGTTACCCAGGCTGGAGTGCAGTGGCACGGACATGGCTCACTGCAGCCTCAACCTCCCTGGTAGCTGGGACTACAGGCATGTGTGCCACCACACCCAGCTAATTTTTGTATTTTTAGTAGAGACCAGGCTTCAACAAGTTGGCAAGGCTGGTCTTGAACTCCTGACCTCAAGCAATCTGCCCGCCTCAGCCTCCTAAAGTGTTGGGACTATGGGCGTGAGCCACCGCGCCCGGCCCCCAGTCTCATGCTTTTTGACAAAGAATTTAATGGGGCTCCAATGCCAGGCCACTGCCACTACCAGAGCTTTGTGAAAGATCCAGGTGTTTTTGCCCTGTGGAGGACAAAGACACGGAGGAGTTAAATAATTCCTTCCTAACACGGGGAATTTGAAAAAGAGAGGCCCTGTATTCCCAGGACCTTGGGAGGCCAAGGTGGGCAGATCACTTGAGGTCAGAAGTTCAAGACCAGCCTGACCAACATGGTGAAACCCGGTCTCTACTAAAAATACAGAAGTTAGCTAGGGATGGTGGTGCATGCCTATAGTCCCAACTGCTCTGGAGGCTGAGGCAGGAGAATCACTTGAACCCGGGAGGCAGGGGTTGAAGCGAGCGGAGATCATGCCACTGCACTCCAGCCTGCGTGACACAGCGAGACTCCGTCTCAAAAAAAAAAAAAGCCAGGTGTGGTGGGTCTGGTGGTGCGCTCCTGTAATCCCAGTTAGTCCGGAGGCTGAGGCAGGAGAATCACTTGAACCCGGAAGGTGGAGGTTGCAGTGAGCTGAGATTGTGCCATTGCACTCCAGCCTGGTGACAGAGCAAGACTCCATCTCAAAAAAAAAAAAAAAAAAACAAAGAAAGAAAAATATGTCTGAAGGAGATAAGCTTTGTACGCCTTTGTGATTCTGTACAGGATGCTCAATTCAGCATTTCTAGAGTATGAACAAAGTGCAAACAACCTAAACATCCAGTGCTAGGGGAGTTACATAAACTAGATCATCTGTACACTGAACTACTGGGCAGCATGTAAACAGTGGTGACCAGGATGCTGTTATTTGTATAATGTGATTTTATTTTTATTTAAATATAGAACCATATTTGCATGAAAATCACCTGAAGAGACATAGCAAAAAGTTAACTTTTTCTGGTGGTAGAAAGTTAGATGAGCACTTCTTGTTGTTTTGCTTATTGATCTTTTAGAATTTTCTAGTAAGCTTTTTTAAGATGATTCGTTTTGTTTTGTTTTTTAAGAGACAGGATCTTACTCTGTTGCCCAGGCTGGAGTGCAGTAGTGTGATCACACGTCACTGCAGCCTCGACCTCCTGGGCTCAGGCAAGCCTTTTGTCTCAGCCTTCTGAATAACCGGGACTACAGGCGCATGCCACCACACCCAATTAATTAAAAAAAAATTATTTTTTGCAGAGATGAGGTCTCTCTATGTTGCCCAGGCCGGTCTTGAACTTCTGGGCTCAAGTAATCCTCCTTTCTCGGCCTCCCAAAGTGCTGGGATTATAGGCGTAAGCCACTGTGCCCAGCCAAGAAGATGACTCTCAAGAAGGGGAGATGGCCCTAGTTCAGAGCAGTAACATGCCATCCAGTGAAGGAGGAGAGAGATAGAAGAACAGGAGCTTCTGGGGTGGGGAGGGAGACTACTGACCATAGCCTTCTCCTCTGGCTTGAAAGGTTATGTAGCCCACCACCTGGGACCTCTCCTGACACAGCCATGCCTGGAACATTCTCATAGCCTTCCCTACTGTGAATGTCAGTGTCATCTTTCCCAGGACTCATAGAGATGGCCCGAGTTGAGGCAGAACTAGGACTCAGTGACCGCCTTTCCCAGCAAGCCTGGTGGTGTTCCACCTATATCTCCCTCAGTGAATGTGCTGGTGCCTCCTTCCGAAACCTGACTGTCAGGTGTGACCTGTAAGATGAGGGTTTGGTCTAGGTGATCGGACGTTTCCAAATCTAAAGTTCAGTGTTTTCTTGCTCTGATTTTGTTTCATGGGTTCAAGTGCTTCTCTTGGTTGGCCTCTGTGTTCAAGCTTCCTGAGGGGACGGTGTTTCACTCACCATAGGTAAATGATAAATGTGTGCTTGGTAACTGAAAAGTTGTCCAGAAACACTTGAAATACTTAGAACCCTAAGTTGTGACAGGGTTGCTTCTCAGTCTTCTCGTTGTGGGGACAGTCCTGGATGAACAGGAGTGGGTTTGCCATTCCAGGAGTCCGTGACGTTCAGGGATGTGGCCGTGTTCTTCAGCCAGGACGAGTGGTTGCACCTGGACTCTGCCCAGAGAGCCTTGTACCGGGAGGTGATGCTGGAGAACTACAGCATCCTGGTCTCACTGGGTAAGGAACTTTCCTCCTGATGCAGAATCTGCCAGGAGAGCACCTTAGCACCCTCAGGGGGCACATTTGGAGGGCTTGGCCAGGTCGGCTCACAGGTGGGCTCCAAGAGTGGCCATTGCCATTCCCCTTGGTTGTATGGAGAGACCTTGGCTTAGTAGAGTTGATGAAGGGGTCTTTTCTCTGCTTTTCCTGTCTTCTGCCCACTGAGCTCTGTTCCCTGAGCCCCACAGGGTGTTCCTGCTGAGAGGAGTGCACAACCAGAGCCCTGACTTTCTTCCTGGGACCATCTCCTGGTTGTCCTCTAGGAGCCCAGTTTGAAGCCTCTCAGAACAAACCTCCTCCTTCCCTGTACTGCCCCTCTGCCCTGGGCACTCTGGGGCTGGACCCGCCTGCTACGATGGCCGCTCACGTTTCTTTCTTGTTCATGAACAGGGATTCTCTTTTCCAAGCCAAAGGTCATCTCCCAGTTAGAGCAAGGAGAAGACCCCTGGATGGTGGAGAGTGGAGTTCCCCAAGGCGCACATCTCGGTGAGTGACAGAGTAATTGGGAGATGGGCATAACATTTTCCCACTGCCAGGGCACAGCGAGGAGGCTGCGCTCAAGGGTCTCCTTGATGTGCCAGGCCAGGGGGAAATGCTGGGAAGGTAGATCCTTTCTCTTTTGATTACTTGATCCATCATGTTCAGAGGAGGGTTGAATTCTCCCAATATGGGTTGCACTGTTTTCAGATATCTTGTAATTTGCAGAATATGTAATACAGTATATCATGTGTAAAGGTTTATAATTCTTTTATCTTCCTTTATCCTTGCTTTTACTGGATTGATTCTTTTCCTAAATTATTTTCCTTAGTGGCTTGAACATTACATTGTTTTTTTTTAATCACTACAATACATTCCTCATAGTTTCATCTTGGAACCATCTTTTGCTTTGATTTCTTTGGTGTACAACTTAATTATACATGGTTCAAAAGGGGGAAAAAAGCAGATATATGTGTATGTATTTACATACATGAAAGAGGGAAAGAAGGTGTGACAAACGGTAACAGTTACGGAATGTGAGTGGGCTTCCGGATACTCATCACGCTATTCTTCTCTTTTCTGTGAAAATTTAGAAAATAATGCATCCCAGATCCCAGCTCCTAAGGCATGTCACTTTTTCCCTATACGCCCTTGGATGACTGCATTATCAGCTTCCGCATTCATTCTCCTGTGAATTCTGTCTATGCTTCTGGCAGTAGAGGAGGCCTCTGTTGAGCTTTACCACGTGTCTGGTGTTTTTTTCTCACCTGGGCAGGGCGTGGGCTTTCTGGGCCAGTTCACTTTTGCGTTTCCATTCGTGAACTCTGTCTTCACATTTTTCCCTTTGGCTCGACTAGAATATTTTCTTGGGTAACGGTTTTCAAAAAAGGTTCATGTGTGCAATATCTGTACGTGTCAAAAATCAGTTGTTTTTTTCTCTCCTCTGAGATTTGTTGTTTTGGATCTAGAATTCTGGCATCTGTTTTTTTTTTTTTTTTTCCTCTCTGCATTGTCCAAACTGCTCCACTGTCTTTGGGCATGGAGTGCTGCTGACAAATAATCCCATTAGTCAGATTCTATTTCCTGTATAGGTAACTTGTTTTTTCTTTTCTGTCTTCTCTTTGGAATCTTACAGGACATCATCTTTATCTTTGGAATTCAGACTTTTCATTAGGTTATATGAAAGAGTATTTTTTTTTCTTTGTTCTTTGGCACTTTACTGGCCTCTTTGCTTTGAAGATTCAGTCCTTCCTTTCATTTCAGGGATCTTTTGTTTCTGCCACATTCCACCAACAATGTGAGGCAATTGACTGCAAGAGTAGTGATACAATAAAATAGAAATTCAATCAGACATCTAGAAAATAAATAGATCTGTAGTAAGGACCAGAATGGTAGCTATAAATGAGTTTCAAATTTCGCTCTGAGCTTTCTGGTTGGCAAATAAATCATTGGTATCACATTGTCAGTGTTGTTTTACAAGCATTTTTAAAAATTAATTATTTTAAATTTGTACAAATTCTACATGCTGTTGTAAAAATAGGAGCAAAAAAAAGTCACCTGGAATTTTACCAACTATGATCAATTATTGTTGTTTATTACCCATTCAAACTGCATATTTGCTTAAATGTGTTTGTGTGTGAGAGACAGACACAGTGAGAGAGAGATACAGAAAGATTGATTATACAGTTTGTTCTTGATCCTGTTTTAATTGTGAATGTCATTCAGTTATTCAGCCCTCAGTGAATAGAGGCCTACCTCATTGAGAGGACTATATTGTATGTTAAGCCAATTAAACAGTCTTCCTTTTGGAAATTTTAGTTACCAGTTTTTCTCTGTTACTAATATTGCTAAGATGGTTATGGGAATACAAAGCCATAATATAAAGAGGCAAAGGTACCAAGAGTAAATCATCACAGTACAAAGACATGAGTATTGTGATTGAAAAGGCCAGGCATGTGGATTAAAAATCCACAAGGGATTTTTTGAAGCACTATTCAACTTCATTAAATTAAAATCAATGAAATTCCAACGAAGCACAAGTTACCATTTTTCCCTTATTACCAAGGATTAAGAAATAGATACCCAATGTGTTGCCACTGCTGTGAGTGATAAGCAGTATCGTTAGTGGGACTGCAACTGGTAGTCTTTCTGAGGATGGTCTGGTTTTATTAAAATCAATTCCAAGTGTAGAAATGTTAAGATAATTTCTGCACAGATAACTGTGCAGAGTTACAAAGATGTTGTAAAAGAATGTTTGTTATAACATGAGGCATCACTGCCACAAAAGGAGGAGGGTAAATGACTCTCAAAAAGGGATTTAGTAAATGATGATGTTTTCATGCATTGGACATATTATATTGCCATTAAAATGATGATGTCAGCCTACATTTATTGACATGGAGAGAAGCTCATGATTTTTAAGTGAAATGGAGGTAAAGGAAGCTTAATTTCAATCCATTTTAATTTTTTAATTAAGTGATTTTTTATATGCAGAAAATTCTGGTGAGCTATGTCCCACATATGATAGTGATTACAATTGCATGATGTATTTATGGGTGAGCTATGTGTTCATTTTTATAGTTTTCTGTGTTTTTCTTATGATGATATATTTCTTTTGTAGTTAAGAAAATAAAAGCTGTTTCATAAAATACAAAAGGAAATACATTTCTTTTGAATCAATGATTCCATTTCTTGTACTGTATCTTAAGTAACCAAAAAGGTAGACAAAAAATTACTCTCAATAATGTTCTTTTCTCCCAGTATTCCCCAATATCATGATAATGGTGTTGGTGTCCATTGAGTTGCCCAGACCAAAAGCTAGGAGTCATCCTTGAGTCCCCTCTTTCATTGCCTCTGCGCTCTATTCGTAGGTGAAGATACCTGCCAGTGCTACTTGCAGAACATCCCAGATACGCCCACCTCTTTCCGTCTCTTATCACCACATGCCAGTGTCAGCCACCACCATCTTCATCCAGGAAGAGTGCAGCGGCCTCATTGCCTGTTCTGCAGCTGCCCTTGTTCTCTTTCTCCCCGGCCCCATTACAGTTTGTTTTTCATATAGCAACCAGAGTGATCCTTTTTAAACAAAAACCACATCATTTCATGTCCCTTCTAGCCCTCAGTGATGCTGATGAACTTCCAATATCTTCCTGTATCCTAGAAAACGCTCCACAATATAGCCTGGCCCACCTCTTTTCCTCATCTGTGACACTCTCTTCTTGTTCACTCTGCTTCAGCTATCATGGACTGCTATATGTCCTGGAAAACAGGAAGCTATTCCTGCCTAGGGCCTTTGTGTTACTGTTCTTTCTGACTGGAATCACCTTTATACCCTAATTTTTGTCTGGCCAGCGCTTGTTATTTAGATCTCATCTTTAATTTCATTTTCTCATCACCCAGTTTAAAATAGTTGCCTATTCACTCTTATTACACAGTGCTTCGTTCGTGTTTTCTTACAGTTCTCATTGCTCCTTTGTACTGCTGTTGATTTGTTACTTGGTCATTGTCTGTATCACACTGCTGGAATGAAAACCTTGAGAGTAGGCCCTTGTCTGGCTTGTGCCCTGTCATTCTCAGAGTCTTAACGTTTGCGTAGCACACAGTAGGCACTCAGTAGGTATTACTTGAGTAAGTGGATGCCATTATTTACAGCATTCTGAGGAGGCCTAGAGCAGCACTGCTTGACATCCTGTGTTTGGCGGAGCTCTTCTCTTTCATTTAATTTTAGCCCCTCTGCAGTTTTTCCCTTGGTATTTACCTGAGTGCACTGGTAGCTGCCCTGGGAGATGACGCTGAGGGACACAGGCTGTGTTCAGAAGGGCCTCATAGCCTAGCGAGCTGTGCTTTGTTAATAGATCGAGCCTGGCTCTTCCTGTTGTCCCCTAATTTCCTCAGCCCACCTATATGTAGGTTTCTTCAGACCCTTCCCACCCACATGTCTGTCATCCTGCTTCCTTCCTCCTCTTCTTTTTCCCATCCTTTTCTAAGATTTCAAGGCTTTATATTTTTTAACTATCCTTGTGCGTTTTTATGTCACTTTTTAAAATTCTGAGTTCAAGAGAGACTTATATGTTTTGTCTACTTTAGGATGGGAAAGCTTGTTTGGAACCATAGTTTCTAAAGAAGAAAATCAGGAAGTCATGAAAAAACTCATAATTGATGGCACATTTGACTTCAAGTTGGAGAAGACCTACATAAATGAAGATAAGTTAGAGAAGCAACAAGGCAAAAAGAACAGACTTTTCAGTAAAGTGTTAGTTACCATCAAAAAAGTCTACATGAAGGAGAGGAGCTTTAAAGGTGTTGAATTTGGGAAAAATCTTGGTCTAAAATCATCGCTTATTAGAAAACCGAGAATAGTTTCCAGAGGAAGGAGACCCCGTTCACAGCAGTATTCAGTTCTCTTTAAACAACTGGGGGTCAACACAGTGCGTAAATGTTATAAATGTAATATCTGTGGGAAAATCTTCCTCCACAGTTCCTCCCTGAGTAAACACCAGAGAATCCACACTGGAGAGAAGCTCTATAAATGTAAGGAATGTAGGAAAGCCTTCAGCCAAAGCTCATCCCTAACTCAGCACTTGAGGGTTCATACAGGAGAGAAACCTTATATATGTAGTGAATGTGGAAAAGCCTTCAGTTTCACCACATCTCTTATTGGACACCAGAGAATGCATACTGGAGAGAGACCTTATAAATGCAAGGAATGTGGAAAAACATTTAAAGGTAGTTCATCTCTTAATAATCACCAGCGAATTCACACAGGAGAGAAGCCCTATAAGTGTAATGAATGTGGGAGGGCCTTCAGTCAGTGCTCATCTCTCATTCAGCACCACAGAATTCATACTGGGGAGAAACCGTATGAATGTACTCAGTGTGGGAAAGCCTTCACTTCAATATCGCGGCTAAGTAGGCACCATCGAATTCATACTGGAGAGAAACCCTTTCATTGTAACGAGTGTGGAAAAGTATTCAGCTATCACTCAGCCCTTATCATACATCAGAGAATTCACACTGGTGAGAAACCATATGCATGCAAAGAATGTGGGAAAGCCTTCAGCCAAAGCTCAGCTCTCATACAACATCAAAGAATTCACACTGGAGAAAAACCCTACAAATGTAATGAATGTGGGAAAGCCTTCTCTTGGATTTCACGGCTTAATATACATCACAGAATTCACACTGGAGAGAAACCATATAATTGTAAGGAATGTGGAAAAGCCTTCAGTTCCCACTCAGGCGTTAATACTCATCGAAAAATTCATACTGGAGAAAAACCTTATAAATGTAATGACTGTGAGAAAGCCTTCAACCAAAGCTCAGCTCTAATTCAGCACCAGAGAATTCATACTGGAGAGAAACCATATAATTGTAAAGTGTGTGGGAAAGCCTTCAGACAGAGTTCATCCCTTATGACACACATGAGAATTCATACAGGGGAAAAACCTTATAAATGTAAAGAATGTGGGAAGGCTTTTAGTCAGAGCTCATCTCTTACTAATCATCAAAGGACTCATAATTGAGAAAAACTGTATAAATGCATGTAGGAACTGAAGTTATATTCCATACTGAGTATCAAAAAATTCATTGTGGGGAGAAAGTGATGAAGAGTAGTTAATCATAGGTAAAACTTCAGCATTAGACCTCATCACACATCAGAGACTTCATGATGCAGGGTAACCTTGGGAATGCTAGAAAAGCTTCTATAAAATGTTTATTCATATGTTCTTAAGTTATTACCATGAAATGGAGAATTTTTAAGATTGCAGGGTTAGTATTTGATTGTCTAGTGATGTACGATAACAGCCACCAGCTTTCCTGAGCATCACTGGGAAGCCTGCTGTTTATGTACAAGTACAGCCATAAAATCCAGACACAGATAAATCTAGGAATCTATTTTTTGAAACTATTATGCAAGCCAGTGGTACTAGAAAGAATGTTTTAGAAAAGAAATATGTACAGGTGACCCATAGCTACCTCACTGTCACTAAAATGTTTTTTAATAATCTTAAAGCAGATTCTGCACTTCATGGTAAAGACTTTGAATTGTTTCTCTGCTTTCTAAGCCATTCACCTGAGAAGAAAATCACTCCATAAACTATGCAGACGTACTGTCTTTGCGTTTTCTTCCTGACTACTTGTTCCAAACTCTGAGTCAGATCTAAAGTCACTTTAAGTCACAGAACGCATGGTATTTCACTTGTTTTTCTCATTAAAAGTGATTACCTTTGCTGTATTAAATTGATAAGTAAAGGTCATTCAGACAACCACTGCTTTTGCAATTTACTGAAAAATGTTATAAATTATCTCAGAATGTAGCCAATAGCAAGCACAGCTCAGCTCCCAGGGTCTGCCTGCTTCTGTGAGCTTTCTGGTTACCAGCCACCAGAAGGCCCAGGAACAATGTAGAACTCAGGTCATCATCCTTGGAGGTAAAATGAACCAGATGATTTTCACCCTTACTTCCACTTTTTCGCCTTCATCAGACAAGGTTCACTTTCTCCCCACACTCTAAAGGTCACTGGGCAAATATTTAGGCTCTGAGTTCAGATACTCTTTCTTCCAGCAAATGGACTTACACTCTTCAACAAGTGATTTAGCTCATTTCAGCATTTCTAAAATGTGAATCATAAGATTAGCAAGCTAAAAACAGTTATCTCACAAGTCAAAATTGTTGGGCTTTACAGAGGCTAACATCTAGTTTAGCCAAGTTTATCAGGAGGGGGCAAGCACTTAAGGGCTGAAACGACCCATTTCATAAAGTGCTAAGTTTTTCTGCCAAGGAACTTTAAAAAATAGAAAACTGGCTGGGTGCAGTGGCTCACGCCTGTAATCCCGGCACTTTGGGAGGCCAAGACGGGCAGATCATGAGGTCAGGAGATCGAGACCATCCTGGCTAACATGGTGAAACCACGTCTCCACTAAAAATACAAAAAAAAAAAAAAAATTAGCCGGCCATGGTGGCGGGCGCCTGTAGTCCCAGCTACTTGGGAGGCTGAGGCAGGAGAATGATGTGAACCTGGGAGGTGGAGCTTGCAGTGAGCCGAGATCGTGCCACTACTCTCCAGCCTGGGCAACAGAGCGAGACTCCATCTCATTAAAAAAAAAAAATAGGAAAGTGTTATTGGGAGCATAGCAAAAATCACTGAATACAGCTTTTGCCTCCTGGGTTACTCAGTCTCATTGTTTCAGACTTGTGAAGAACAGACTTTTCTGGATCATTGAATGCTTCATCTCTAATCCTTACTTCCCACAACTGTTCAGTTTTTTTTCTCTACCTAAGTTGTAAAAATTCCTAGGGAAGTAGAACTTCCCTAACTATTAGTAGTTTTAAAATCATCAAAAAGTTAAATCTGAATTAAAATCACACAAAGAGAACATTAGGCCAAGTTATTTTTTAAAACAAGATCTGTCAAAACTTGAAGTAACAGATAGATCAAGTTTTATGGAAAGTCTCCCAGAGGAGATAATGTAATAGCACAATTTTGCTAATATAACCCAGTGCCAAAGCCAGGTAAAGCACAAGAAATGAATATTATAGGCCAATATTACCTATGAACAAGAGGTGAAATCCCAAGCAAATCATTAGCAAACGTAATCCAGAGCACCTAAGCATAGTTAATAACATGATAAAAGTTCATTTATAGAAAGCCTACTGAAAAAGAATGGTAAGATGTTAGAAGCATTAATGACAAGAAATACCGAGAAAGAATAAACTGTAGCTGGGCACAGTAGCTCACGCCTGTAATCCCACCACTTTGGGAGACTAAGGTGGGTGGATCACCTTAGGTCAGGAATTCGAGGCCAGACTGGTCAACATGGCGAAACTCTGTCTCTACTAAAACTACAAAAATTAGCCGGGTGTGGTGGCACATGCCTGTAATCACAGCTACTGAGGAGGCTGAGGCAAGATAATTGCTTGACCCCAAGGAGGCAGAGGTTGCACTGAGCCGAGATCATGCCACTGCACTGCAGCCTGGGTGACAGGACTGTCTCAAAAAACAAAAAGAATGAACTGTTCAAAATTGGCTCTGAGACAGAAATGATTCACAGAAAAAAAATTAGATCCCTACCCTCACCATAACAATTATATGAAAAGCAAAAACTGAATAACTTGGAGGAATATGTAAAGGAATAATTTTATGTTCTTGAGATTGGGAAAGATTTCTTAAACAGGCTACAAATTAGCTATATAAAATTTTTGATTTATTTGCTCACATGAAAGAACTTCTTACCAAAGTATACAAAAACGGAGGTGAAAAAAGTCAAGACACAAAATCGATCTTTCTACAGTATGCCCAACAAAACTACTATAATCCAGAAATACTAATTTGTACAAATCAATAATAACACTAGGAAAATGGGCTAAATACATGACTTCTTATTTCACAGAAAAGAAAATACAAATTTCCAGAAACACGAAAAGGTAACTAACTTCATTAGTAGTTAAAATGCAAATTAAGGCCACGGTAATGTATGATTTTACAACCACAAATGAGGAAAAATTAGGATGTGTGACAATACTGAGCTTCAGGATGTATGTGGAATAAGAAATTCAGTAGTAGTGGGAATATAAGTCAGAGATGACTGACATAAAGCTGAACTTGTGCGTGTTGTGGACATCTGCATAGATGCACTGGAGAAATGATTGCATGTGGGCATCAAGGGATGTATAAAGATATTCTTAGCAGCACTGATCATCACACCAAATGATTGTAAGTAGTCTGAATGTCCATTAATTAGGAGAATGGATATATTTTGGAATATTAACACAGTAGAAACAGCAGTGAAAAGGAATAAAGTGAAGCAAAACATGGATGAAGCTGGCATGGTGGAGCACATCTGTAGTCCCAGCTACTCTGCTGAGGCAGGAGGATCACTGTTGCCCAGGTGTCCAAGACCAACCTGGGCAACATAGCAAGACAATGTCTCTAAAACAAAAAAACGGATAGATTGAAAAACACATTTTTGAGTTTTTAAAAGTCATTGGCAAACTACATAGGGTATGATACAATTTTTTTGCAAAATTATATGTTAAAAGGTATATACTGGCCGGGCGCAGTGGCTCACGCCTGTAATCCCAGCACTTTGGGAGGCTGAGGCAGGCAGATCACGAGGTCAGGAGATCAGGGCCATCCTAGCTAACATGGTGAAACCCCATCTCTACTAAAAATACAAAAAATTAGCTGGGTGTGGTGGCACATGCCTGTAGTCTCAGCTACTCGGGAGGCTGAGGCAGGAGAATCACTTGATCAGGAGGCAGAGGCTGCAGTGAGCCAAGATCGTGCCACTACATTCCAGCCTGGGTGACAGAACAAGACTCTTCCTCAAAAAAAAAAAAAAAAAAAAAAAAAAAGATATGTACATGTTTTAAAGATATTTAAATAACATCAAATGATTGAGAATATATTGTAGTTATCCATTGCTGTAGGACGAATCGCCCCAAATGTAGTGTTGGACAACAATGTATTGTCTGTCATGAGCCCATGTTGGGGCTTAGCTGGGAGGTTCTTACTTGCTGTCTAGTAGCTGTGCCATCAGAGCGGCTGGGGCTGAAGCTAAACTGGGCTTCAGGATGGCTGGCAGTTGCTGGTAACTGCTGGGTGAGAGCTGGCTTGGGCTACTCCATGTGGCTTGGGCTACTCCATGTGGCTTGGGCTTCTTACAGAATGGGGGTTGATTTCTGAGAGGGAGTGTCCCAAGAGCAAGTATTCCAAGAGAGCTAGGTAGAAGTTGCAGATCTTAAAAGCCAGCTTTAATTCTGTATACAATTGATTGAGAATGAGTCAAATTTGGCCCGTATTCAAGAGTAGTTTAATAAACTGAATGCCAAGGGCATGGTTCACTGGGGAACTGTGTATGGAGACTAGCTACCACATACATAAAGGACAGGGACTTTACAAAACTCTGGTGTGAGGCAAGGAGATGATGACTTGGGGAGAAGCACAGAGTCTTCCTCTACTTGCTTGGTGCTTGAGAGAGACTCCGTCTTCAGGAAGAGGCTGCTCCAGCCAGCCAGAGCCATTGGGTATGTCAGTAAAAAGAACTTTAAGAGAATTTGTCCAACTCAATCCTGGTGAGTTGAGGAGGAATAAAACAGAGATCCTGAAACCTGATCACCCAGGGTGATGTGAACATGAAGGTTAATATGGAATGAGCTTAAAGGTTGTACCTAACAGCCCTGCCACCATCAGAGCCTTCTTCAGGCCACTGCTCAACAGGAATGTGTCTCATTAACAAAGCTATCAACACTTTTCTCACCTGTCTATAATCTTCCCTTCTCATTCATCTCCCTAGATCTCCAGATAAAGAGAACATTGGTTCCTAACCAAAGTAAGGAAGTGCCCGGTAAATTATGTGTACCTTAAGATAAATAGGAAGAGAAAGAATTAACAATCATCTTTAAGTTGTCAACACATTTTCTTTGCCCAAGTTCTCTTGTTAAGACTCAACACTTCTCAACAGACTTGTTCAGAATCTAGGCAAAAAGAAAAATGTCCATTTTCATGGCTTCCTAACAGGTCGTTTCAAAGCAACCTGAAAAATGCAGAATATGTTTTAACTTTTATAATATGGTTGACATGCCTGATGTACTGTATTCAAAGAAATTACTTAAAATGCCCTTCTTTTCATGTGGTTTGGGGCTATTACTGGCTGCCACATGATCAGGTGTTTTCTCATGAATAGGTCTAGGAAAAATGAACAGGCCAGTTGTTTTCTAGTCTGGCCCTTCATTGGACCTGTCTGATGCTTCTTCATGATTAGATTTATGCTATGCGTTTTTTTGTTTGTTTTTTGCTTTTTTTTTTTTGAGACAGAGTCTTGCTCTGTCACCCAGGCTGGAGTGCAGTGGTGCAATCTCAGCTCACTGCAACCTCCACCTCCTGGGTTCAAGCAGTTCTCTTCCTCAGCCTCTCCAGTAGCTGAGATTACAGGCACCTGCTACCACGGCCGGCTAATTTTTTTTTTTTTTTTTTTAGTAGAGATGGGGTTTCACTATCTTCGGCAGGCTGGTCTTGAACTCCTGACCTCATGATCCACCTGCCTCGGCCTCCCAAAGTGCTGGGATTACAGGCGTGAGCCCCTGTGCTGGGCCTATGCTATGCTTTTTTGGTAAGGAAACCATGGAAGTAATACTGTATTCTGAGTTCATCATCACACCCTATTGGGGGATTGTGATTTACTCCAATTGCTGGTCATTTTAACTTTGCTGTCTTCATTCAGATGGTATCTGCCAGATTTTGCACTGTGAAGTTACAATCTTCCTTTTATAATCATCAGTCTCTTAACAGGAAATCCTATGAGTGTATGTATATGTATTTTTACTTGTCAAACTTGATTTACCAAGGCCAGACACAGTGGCTCATGCCTGTATCCCAGCACTTTGGGAGGCTGAGGTGGGAGGATTGCTTGAAGCCAAGAGTTTGAGACCATGGGAAACATGGTGAGACCCCATCTCTACAAAAAGTAAACTATCTGTGCATGGTAGCATGTGCCTGCAGTCCCAGCTACTCAGGAGGCTGAAGTGTGTTGATCGCTTGAACCTGGGAGTCTGAGGCAGCAATGAGCTGTGATCATGCCACTGCACTGCAGCCTGGGCCACAGAGTAAGACCCTGTCTCTAAAAATGATTTAAAAATAACATAATATAAAATAAATTATAATATATAAAACATTGTTTTAAAAACTTGATTCTCAGTCCGGTGCGGTGGCTCATGCCTGTAATCCCAGCACTTTGGGAGGCCGAGGCTGGCGGATCACCTGAGGTTGGGAGTTTGAGTCCAGCCTGACCAACATGGAGAAACCCCATCTATACTAAAAAAATACAAAATTAGCCGGGCATGGTGGTGCATGCGTGTAATCCCAGTTACTTGGGAGGCTGAGTCAGGAGAATTGCTTTAACCCGGGAGATGGAGATTGCAATGAGCTGAGATTGTGCTTTTGCACTCCAGCCTGGGCAACAAGAGCAAAACTCCATCTCAAAAAAAAACAAAAAACAATAAACTTGATCCTCTAGTTTCATCCATTGATGACACTTGATTTAATCACTTATTATAATTGCTTCCAAATGAAGATTGTGTAATTCCATTGTTTCTTCTACACTTGTTAATTGGCTTTCTGCTTTGAAGAAGAGTTTTATATTCTCTGTATATGTGTGTTTCTATGATTCTGGAAGCATAGTTTTCTATTTTATTCAATGGCCTGTAATCTGTTAATATCAATTATTTATTTTGATGCTGAAGTTGTCCCAGGATTGGCCTTTGGGACTCCCTTTAGGCTGATTTCTGTGTCCTTTCTGTTACAACAAGCTTGGGATTATATCCAAGATTTGTAATTCCAGCGTGCGTACTTCTGTCAGTGTAAGCAAAGTATGATTTTTGGACTAGATGACTTGGGCGTTGTCGGAGAGGTGGAGTTTAGAGGTATTCTCTGTTTTTCCTATAGGATCTTGCATTTCTTCCTCTTGGTGCTTGTCTCTTTGTGTTGGGAACAGGCCTCTCAAAATCTGGCCATAAACTGGCCCCAAAACTGGCCATAAAATCCCTGCAGCACTGTGACATGTTCATGATGGCCATAACGCCCACACTGGAAGGTTGTGGGTTTACCAGAATGAGGGCAAGGAACACCTGGCCCGCCCAGGGCAGAAAACCGCTTAAAGGCAGTCTTAAGCCACAAACAATAGCATGAGTGATCTGTGTCTTAAGGACATGCTCCTGCTGCAGGTAACTAGTCCAACTCATCCCTTTATTTTGGCCCATCCCTTCATTTCCCATAAGGGATACTTTTAGTTAATCTAATATCTGTAGAAACAATGCTAATGACTGGCTTGCTGTTAATAAATACATGGGTAAATCTCTGGGGCTGTCAGCTCTGAAGGCTGTGAGACCCCTGATTTTCCACTTACACCTCTATATTTTTGTGTGTGTGTCTTTAATTCCTCTAGTGCTACTGGGTTAGGGTCTCCCCGACTGAGCTGGTCTCGGCACTTTGATGTGTGGATTCCCCACCACTACCTTTCTGTTAGGAATTCACCTGAGGCATGACCTTCCTGTGGCTGTCTCCTCACATTCTGTGTGTACTTTATCAAAATGCAAAGTGATAAAATACACATAACATAAAATTTACCCTTTCACCCATTTTTAAATGTACAATCTATTTCCAGATCTTTTCATCATTTCAAACAGAGACTCTGTACCCATTAAGCAGTAACTCCTCATTTCCTCCTTCCCAGTCCCTAGTACCTTCTATACTGCTGTCTGTATGAATTTTACTACTCTAGGTATTTCTTATAAATGGAATAATACAATATTTGTTCTTTTATATCTGGCTTATTACATTTAGCATATGTCTTCAAGGTTCATTCATGTTATAGCATATGCCAGAATTTCCTTCTTTAAGGCTGAATAGTATTTATTTTATGTATATACCACATTTTGTTTATCCATTCATTGGTTGACATTTGGATCATTTGCACCTTTCAACAATTGTGAATAATGCTGCTGTGACCATTGGTGTACAAGTACCTGTTTGACCCCCTGCTTTCAATTACTGTCCCTGTAGTTTTGCCTTTTACAGAATGTCATATAAATGCAAAACCCATGTCATGCCTGTGGCAGGAGGTCTCAGAGCCACCGGCTTGCCAGTGTCTGCTTTGTGATCTCTACTTAAGTCTAATGATACAGACTATGGATGAGAGAAAATAAGCTATAGCATAACTTCAATTTATTTTAAGCAAATGAATTTAAAGACACAATTATAACATTGTAGGTTTTTCATGACCCATTCAATGAATTTATACAGCTGTGTTGGAAAGACCCAGATAGAACTTACCTCCTTTGGCTTCTGTATTTCAGCACCATCCTTTCTGCACATCTCTTCATGAAGGTCAGTTAGTTCTTTTTCCCAAAAAACTGTTTGCAATCACTCTTCATTGTGTCTGTGCAATTCTGATCTTCCTTTAACCTTTTCAGTGTATATAGGACAGGAAAATGTCAATAGCTTACTACAGGTTTCTGTCATCCAGGTGGAAGTCATGTCAGCATGACATTATAAACAGTGTTTAAAATGTCACTGTGTGTGTTCCCCAAGTCTAGCTAGTCCATCAGCCCTGACCCACATTTATACAGGAATGGACATCATTAAGATGATCACCTGATCAAGAGGATAAGGTTAAAGAGGAGCTGTGATTTGATTTTGAACACAATGCATATACTTTGCTTTAGCCTTTCAAATTCCTGAAGATTGGTTAGGAACAACTCCCATTTATCCTTTTCTATAATTTTCCTTTTTTATTTTCTCATTGTGAAGGATAGGAAGGCAGGGAAGGAGAGACATGGGGAGGGTGAGGAGGGAAGTAGGGAAACTCATTTGAGCCTCACCACATTGGACCCAGGGCCTGCTGGATCAGGTTAGTGGGTTTTTGACTACTGGATCAATGCTGTACACAAAGTGTAGATTTTTTTAATGTAGATATTTATTGTTTAAAGAACAAACCACATTAGAAAGTGAGAGAATATTCCTTTCAGAAATTGGATTCTGTAAGCTTGAAATATAAACTTAAAGAGTCCTCCCAGAACATAGAGGAAAGTACAAAGAATTAAAATATAAGAACATCAGATATATGGCCGGGCGCGGTGGCTTACGCTTGTAATCCCAGCGCTTTGGGAGGCCGAGGCAGGCGGATCGCAAGGTCAGGAGATGGAGACCATCCTGGCTAACATAGTGAAACCCCATCTTTACTAAAAATACAAAAAAAAAAATAGCTGGGCATGGTGGTGGGTGCCTGTAGTTCCAGCTACTCGGGAGGTTGAGGCAGGAGAATGGCGTGAAACCGAGAGGCAGAACTTGCAGTGAGCCGAGATCGCATCACTGCACTCCAGCCTGGGCGACAGAGCGAGACTCCGTCTCAAAAAAAAAAAAAAAAAAAATATATATATATATATATATATATAATATCATATTTTATATGTATGTATCATATACATATCATATATGTATAATGAAAGCTATACATGAAGTCTAGCAATTTAATATATTGCTAATTTAAAAAGGCAGGAAAAAATAGAATGGAAGCCTTATCCTTTTTTGTGTCTCACAAAAATAATGGAAAAAACCTGATTGCTGGATATAGGAAATTAGAAATACTTAAAGATACAGGAAACTGTAAGAATTAAAGAGGAAAGAAATGCAAAAGGTGGCTTGACAGTCAAGGACAGATTTATTTTAGAGAAACAAACCTGAGAGGGGCTGCTGGCCGAGTTAGGTCAGAGCCCACTTTCTTATAGACTAAAAGTTTTTAAGGATTCAGCATGGAAAGGCCCACTGTTTTACTGGGGCCCATTGTATGAGGGTGAAGTTTGGAAGTTACCCAAGAGACTTTCCCCGCCACCTCCCTCTGTGCCTGAGCTGTCTTTTCTGTGTTTTACTGTCTGCTGTTTCTGGTTCCTTGTAGTTAGAAGAGAAGTGATTTCCTTGAAATGCGTGAGGCTAGAAAAGGAGCTGGAACTTCAAGTGCCAGCGTTTGTCTGAGATGGTGGTGCTACTGCTCTGTCAAAAACAGGAACAAAAACCCAATTTTTAAAAGCCCATGTAGGGAATCAAACAAAAAGATTACCTACAAAAGTAGAAAAATTAGCCTCAGATTGGTTGACCAAAAAAGGCAAACTCTATAAAATATTAGAAGAGGCTTATTCTCAGCCAAATATCAGGATCATGGCCCATGACACAGCCTCAGGAGGTCCTAAGAACATGCACCCAAGGTGGTTGGGTTACAGCTTGGTTGTATACATTTTTAGGGAGACAGAAGTTACAGAAAAAGACATAAATCAATACATGTAAGGTGTACTTAGGTGCAGCCAGGACAGGCAGGACATCTTGAAGGTGGGGTCGGTGGTTCCTTCCAGGTTATATAGGTGGATTCAAAGATTTTCTGATTGGCAGTTGACTGAAAGAGTTAAATTTTACCTGAAAAGTTAAAGTCAGCAGAAAGAAATGCTGAAAATAAAGGGGGTCGGGCGCGGTGGCTCATGCCTGTAATCCCAGCACTTTGGGAGGCCGAGGCCAGTGGATCAAGAGTTTAGGAGATTGAGACCCTCCTGGCCAACACAGTGAAACCCCATTTCTACTAAAATACAAAAAATTAGCCGGGCGTAGTGGCATGCGGCTGTAGTCCCAGCTACTGGGGAGGCTGAGGCAGGGGAATGGCTTGAACCCAGGAGGCGGAGCTTGCAGTGAGCTGAGATGGCGCCACTGCACTCCAGCCTTGTGACAGAGCAAGACTCCGTCTCAAAAAAAAAAAAAAGATTAAGGGGGTTATCTTATCCCCCCCTTAAAGTATTTCTATTTATAGGGATACTTACATCTTAAAGTATTTCTACTTATTATTTTTAAGTATTTCTATTTATTTCCTATATCCTAAAGGGAAGTCAAGGTTCTTGTTATATAGATAAATCCTCCAAGTAGCAGGCTTCAGAAAGAATAGATGGTAAGTATCTTTTATTGGAACTTAAAACGAGTCAGACTCCCTGGAAAAGACCTAGTAAGGGAAGGAGATTCTCTACAGATGCAAATGGCCCCCACAAGAGATGGCTTTGCAGGACCATTTCAAAATATGTCAAAGAAAATATATTTTTGGGTAAAATACTTCTATTTCCTTCAGAGCCTGCTATCTGTCATGTGATCCTATATCAGAGTCAGGTTGGAATTTGGTATCTCGTTGCTACAAAGAGTCTGTTTTTTTTCTGTCTTAAGGTCTCTATTTTAATATTGCTGGCCAGTTGTGCCTAAACTCCAGAGGGAGGAGGGTAGTAGGCGGCATGTCCAGCCTCTGCTTCCCATCATGGCTTGAACTGGTTTTTCAGGTTTCTTTGAGATCCCCTTGGCCAAGAGGGGAGTCCATTCAGTTGGTGGGGGGAGGGGCTTAGAATTTTATTTTTGGCCTAGAGATTTCCCCATAAAATGAAGAGGGGCCTGTGGAATAGAGCCTCTGTATTTCTGTCATTCCACTCCTCAGACATTTCATATTTCCTCCTTTGCACAGTTATCTCCCAAACAAAAATCTTGAAGAAACACACTTTTCAGGCAAATGAGAGAGTACAAAGAAAAAGTCGACTGTGACAGTGTGAAAAGAAACAAATACAAAGACCAAAAGAAAAACAAAACTAGGAAAGTGGTAGAGGAAGATTCATGGCTTATAAAGACACAAGTTAAATATAAATTTAATTATAAATAAATATAGATTATAAAACTCAAGGAACCTACCAGAATTCATAGTTGAAAAAGAAAATGGAACATGCAAATGTGAAAATCGGATACTTATGGCTGTAGACTACTGCTCCTACTATTAAATCTCTAAATGGGTCAGAGAGGAAAGTAAATTTGCATTTAGTTTAGTGTATAAAGGAACTCAGAAGATTTAGGTTAATTTAAAAATTTTTAATAATTGTAATAATAGAGTAGAAAGAATATTTTTAAATAATGTAATATAATTACCAAGACTATTTGAAAAGAGTAAATATACCTTATAGTTGAAAAAGCATATTCTGAATGTTTTTAACATCCTTTTCCATATTTGACTTTTGAGCTTTTTACAGTTCTTTTTGTTTTGGGGGGTCTTTTTTGGTTCTTGTTGCTAATGGTTAACCAGGGCCTGCTTGAAATAACAAGCCCTTCAGTGTACCACCTACAAGTTTGTGTATGCGTTTGCATTTATGTAAAGTGTGTATAATCATGGAATTATAACAAAAAGGAAACTCATCAAAAGTTAACGATGCCTGTTAGGTGCTGATATTACCCGTAATAAGAAATGTGATACTTATCTTTTTTATGACTCTGGACTTACCTATTAATTATGATAAACCTATATTATATAAACATAGCATTCACATCAATGGCTGAAATGGAATTGTAGCAAGAGAAAATTGACTATTTTCGAATATTAATAAAATTATTTTTTATAAGCATAAATTCAAACCTTTTATGTGGGTTCTTTTGGATTTCCATTGTTTTAAGAAAAATAATATAGTTGATAAATTTTTCCACTCTTCATACATTTCATATTTCTTCCCTTGCATGGTTATCTCCCATACAAAAATCTTGAAGAAACACACTGCTTTTTTGCTTGGAGACTAAATTTTATTCATTCTTCTTATTTTCTGATAGATTGCACCTGCTGTGTGTGTCTCATTCAAACAAATTTAGATATCACTTAAGGAAGATCTTTTTGTTTTCTTTTGAGATGGGGTTTCTGTTGCCAAGGCTGGAGTGCAGTGGTGTAATCACAGCTCACTGCAGCCTCAACCTCCTGGGCTCAAGCAATCCTCCCACCTCAGCTTCCTGATTAGCTGGGACGATAGGCATGCACCACCATGTCTGACTACTTTTTTAATAAATTTTTGTGGAAATGGTGTCCCACTGTGTTGGCCAGGATGGTCTTGAACGCCTGGGCTCAAGTCATCCTTCCATCTCAGCCTCCCAAAGTGCTGGGGAGTTACAGGTGTGAGCCATCATGCCTGGCCATAAGATTTTGTAATTTAAACTTTCCTCTTTTCTACACTGTCTGTAGTACAATATCTTATGATAGCAAGATGACAGATTTTTTTCCCCTGGCTTACCCTAATCTCTTTATAAATATCTGCACTGTTGATTTTCAGCCCAGTCATGCCCTGATGCCTGGTAATGGCCAAGAAGCAGGAGAAACTTCTGAGCAGAGGAGCCAGTTAGACAAGGCTTAACCCTGGCCGTCAGTGAGATAACAGTTGAGAATTTTCATAAAGAGTTTAGACAGGCCAAGCTAAGAATGGAACAGACGTGCTTCCAGCTCTGAGCGCTGTGCTCACTAGCCCTTTGGGGCTGCTTTTTCCCCAGCCTCAGGCAGTTTCCTCACATACACATGCTGATCAGGGCTCAACTGAATCCTCAAGGTGTGGTCTCCAAAATCCCCTGGATCTCTGTCTCTGCAGCTCTCTCCTCTCTGGCACTCTGCCCTGTGAACTCAAGCTGTCTTGAATTTCCCAGACTCCCAGCTTCATCGCGTCAATCCAGGAAAACCACTGGGCTCTGTATGGGTTCCTGCTACCTGAGCTTGATCCAGACATGACTCTTTGGCTTCCTGTTTCCCAGGATTTACTGTCCAGCATCTTGAGTGTCATCATTTCATTCTTCCTTCCAGGATTTTTAGTTGCTTCAGGTGGGAAGGTAAATCTGGACCTTGTTTCTCCAGCTTGACCATTGGTAGTTCCAGGATCATAGCTCATACTTTTATTGACAAGATGCTCATTTTAAAATGCAAGTTAACGTTCCGAATATATGTTGGGGTAAAAACTCTTTATGTGCTCTGTTGGTTGGAATTCAACAATTGCCTTGGCCTCCCAAAGTGCTGGGATTACAGGCATGAGCCACCGCTCCTGGCCCAGCTTTTTTTCTTATTGTAAGGACAGGAACGATAACTTCCAAGCTCTTTACATACAGACCAGAAGTCTGGTAAACACCTTGTCTGTTCTTGGCTTTCAGGATACTCTGGGGTGTTTTCTACACCAACAACTGATTCTCCACTTCTCTGATCACCAACTGGGTGTCCAACAATCCATGCAATTCTGACACTAATTACCCAGAGTCAATGTCAGACTCCACAGATTTAAGGCTTCTGTTCCGTAAGACTGCCCCTTCATCAGACACCAGTCTCAAGTCCCAGACATCTGTACTTCTGATGAACTGGCTATAAATCAGGGGTTCCTATGACCCCCATCTCAGGTTCGATAATTTGCCAGAATGATAACACAGAACTCAGGAAACACTTATGTTTATTGGGTATTATATTAATAAATGATACAACTCGGAACAGCCAGATGGAAGAGGTGAATTGCGCAGGGTATGGGGGAAGGGCCTTGAGCTGCCATGCCCCTCAGAGTACACCCCCTCCCAGCACCTCCATGTGTTCACCAGCCCCAAAGCTCATCAAGTCTCTTTGTTGAAGGGTTTTGATAAAGAGTAGTTTCCAGTGCCCCTCCCACCCAGAGGTCAGTGGGTGGGGCTGAAAGTTCCAAGCCTGTAATCCCTTAGTCTTTATGGTGACCAGCCCATCCTGAGGCTCCCTAGTGGCCCCATCCTAAGTTGCCTCATTAGCATAAATCAGGTGTGACCAAAAGGGCTTGTTATGAATGACAAAGATAGTCCTATCACCTCTGTAACTCAGGCAGTTCCAGGGGCTTTAGAAGCTTTGTACAGAACCCAAATATAACAAAGGATGCTTCTATCACCCTTATCTTTCATGAAATTACAAAGTTCTAGGATCTCTGTGACAGGAACTGAGGACAAGGACCAAATATCTCTTATACCACAAGATACTATATTCTGTTGAATTTCCTTGGCATTCTTTTTTACTAGTTCCTCCTCATGTTCCTGTAGCAGGACGAGCCGTGGACAAAACCCCATAGACACCGAGATAGTGAAGGAAGTAGCTTTAATCCTCTGGAAGCATTGGCAGACTAGCGTCTTAAAATCCGAGCTTGTTGAGTGCACAGTTTCTGTCCCTTTTAAGGGCTCACAACACTAAAGATTTTACATGAAAGGGCCGTGATTGATTGAGCAATCTAGGGGGTATGTGACAGGGGCTGCATGCACCGGTAATCACAGTGAAACAGAACAGAACGAGAAGTTTCACAATGTCCTTCCATACAATGTCTGGAATCTATGGATAACATTGGTTGCTAGGTCATGGGTTGAATTTTAACTATCAGGCTAAGGTCAGGCAGGCCCAGGCCTGGTTTTGGGTCTGGTGCCTGGCACCCAGCTGCCTGCCTTTGGTTTCGCTTCCTTGTTTCTTCTTAAAACAGGTACTGAGTATAAAACAATATAGAACAATATGGGGGGGTCTCTTTCTCTCTTCTCTCATTTCCCCCCTTTGAGACTCTCACTCATTTTGTTAGTGGGAATTCTCACTTTCATTTTCACTACTTATGTCTTCCTGTGCAATAGATCGATAGTGATTCATATAATATACTTGTGCTGAAGCATTCTGGTGAACTAAGGTAGCAATGAAGCTTTTTATCATTTGAAGAAGTACAGGTAGCAAACAAGGGAGTAGTAAGCAGGTTCCTATTACTATTATAACTCCTATTATAAGAGTTTTAAATCCTCCTATTGCTGGGAACCAATTTCCAAACATGGCCCCAGGATCAAATCCGTGCCACACTTGCACATATACATGTGCCAGTTTTGTTGTATTTTTAACTATGTCTTCAACTACTTGCCCTTGATCATCTATGTGTAGACAGCAATTAGTAAGGTTAAATTTTCCACAAACTCCTCCTTCAGCTGCTAGCAAGTAGTCGAGAGCTAGTCTATTTTGGTAGATAGCATTCCTCATCTGAGTCTCTTGCCAGGCAAGAACAGTCAAGGCTTGACCGGTTTTATTAGCAATAATTTCTAAAACAGCTTGCAAACGTATGATTCAGTTGAGCATGTAGATGGGGGTCTGATATCCTCACGAGCCATCTTGTGCCCAAGTGGCGGGCCCATAGTATTGTATAATTCTTTCAGGGGGCCATTCATCATCTTTGCAGTTACCTATGGCTATGCTTTGTTTTTTGCGGGAAGCATAGAAGGGAATCCTAGGAGTTCGCCTGTTTTTATGGGCAGTAGGAAGAAAGACGGTTTAATAGTGCCAATTACACAGCTACCTGTCCACTGATCAGGTAGCTTAGCATAGGCTCTATGTCCACATATCCAGTATAACCCAGTGGGGGCAGTCCAGTCCCGGTGGAATTCTGGGTGGGTCCAAACAGTCTGCAATTTTGGAAATTTACTGAATGGATCTTTTTCTGTGTAATTGGAACTCCACCATGTAACTGTTTTTGTGGTACCATTATACAGTTTTTGTCCAAGACAACTAAGCCGTCCTACAGGATGAGTGAACTCTTTTCCTTCTCTAGCTATGCAATATTGTCCAATAATTGAGGCTTTTAGAACCCAGAAATTGTCAGGACTAGGATGCGGTTCTCTAGATTGGGAAAAAAGCTATACAGCATAAAATAAGTATATCTGCCATGAATCATATTCATGTACAAATGTGTGTCAATACTGGTCTTGTGTCATCTGGGCTACTTGGAAAAAAGATAAAAAAGATCTTGTTTGGCTCCAAAAAGGAAAAAGTAGCCCCTCCTGCACAAGTGGAAGCTGCAACCCTTTAGAATTAATAATTACAAATCCCTCAGACCCAAAGTGGGAAAAAGGAGAACACGTATCTCTAGGCATTGATGGAAAAGGACTAGACCCTAAGGTCAACATTTTAATAAAAGGAGAAATTCGAAAACGCTCTCCAGAGCCAGTATTTCAGAGTTTCTATGAAGAACTAAATGTGCCAGTACCTGAAATTCCAGGAAACAGTAGAAATTTGTTTTTGCAATTAGCTGAGCATGTAGCTCAGTCTCTGAAAGTCACTTCATGTTATGTTTCTGGAGAGAACCGCATCCTAGTCCTTGCTGATTACTATTAATAGTGGCACAAGCGTCAAATTTTAGAGTTACATGTTTGGGAACCCCTCTTTCTTCTGCTCTAGCTATTACTTTACTTGTGTCACCTAGAAAAGGACCAGTCCTTAGTCTTGTTTCAAAAACCGTGATCATGGGAGGTTCAGAGGGGTCATAGCACACATCAGGCTGCCCACTTCCTGGATTACATACTTTGTACTGAGTGTTATTATATAAACATGTTCCTTATGGAGTTCCTGGGCACTCATAATAACTATGGAACAAAAAGATTGTTTTAACCTGTTGTCCTACCTCAGTGACCTGATGTAGCCACTGAAAGCAGTCTTCCATGTGAAAAGAAGCAGTGGAAGCTTTTACCCCACAAGTCCATGTCATAAGGAAAATAAGTCCCATGACGATTTTCCTCATGCTTCGGCCGTGCGCGGACCCGTCAGCTTCCGGGTGTGACTGGAGCAGGGCTTGTCGTCCTCCTCAGGGTCACTTTACAGGGATTGTCCAGGCTTGGTTTGGCCCTCCAGGTTTCAGGGGCTGCGGGATTTTTTTACGTGGCTGTGGTGAACCCAGGCCGGGATTCTGTCCACCTTTACAGCTGTGGGAGTGGTCAGGATAACGATCTGCGTTCCTTTCCACCGTGGCCGTGAAGGAGCTACGTTCCAGTCCTTGATCCACACATGGTCACCTGGAGAAAAAGGGTGAACTGGGGAGAGTAAGCTGACCGGGCACCTCTCATTTACCCAAGTTGAGATTGTCTGGGTAATCTTCCCTAGGGCCTGTAGCTATCGCTGCAGTTCAGTTTCACCCAACTCTTGGGGAGTACCCGGAAGTCCTCGCAGTATAGGAGGAGGCCTATGATATAATATTTCATAAAGGGAGTATCCTGTTTTCTTAGAGGGGGTGCACCTAATTTTAAACAATACCATAGGAAGGGCCTATATCCATTTTAATCCTGTCTCTTGACATACTTTCCCTAAACTATTTTTGATAGTCCAATTCATTCCCTCCACCTTTCGGGAACTCTGAGGTTGGTAGGTGGCATGTAGCTTCCAAGTGATTCCTAATACCTTTGCCGTCCTCTGTACTAAGTCAGCCACAGATGCCGGCCCATTATCTGAGCCGATTCGTAGAGGCAGTCCAAACCTAGGGATGAGATCTCGAAGAAGCACACGGGTTACTTCACAAGCTTTTTCAGTTCGTGTTGGATAAGACTCTATCCACCCAGAGTAAGTACACACTAGAACAGTAAATACTTGTTACCTCCGCATTTGGGCATCTCTGTGAAGTCCACTTGAAGATCTTCAAAGGGAGCTGCTCCACAGGCTTGTGTGCCGGGAGGAACAGGGGACCTTGCTTTGCATTGTGCATCGCCGCGCTACTGTTTTAGCAAGAGCTGGCAAGTGTGAGATGTAGAAATACCGGCTTAACAGCTTTTCAAGTGACTCCTGGCCTAAATGGGTAGTTTCATGTACAGCCAGCACAACTGCGGCTCCTAGCAGCTGTGGCACAGCTATTCTCCCATCTGGTGACTTTATCCATTCTTCTTTTATTGTTTGTCCTCCCTTTGCCTGAAGAACGTCTTTTCCCTTTTTAGAATAAGTAGGCACCAGATCAGGTGTTTGAGGGAGTAGAGGGGCTGTGACTGATGCCTGGTAAAGAGTAGATGCTGCTTTTTGTGCCTCTGTGTCTGTTCGGGAGTTTCCTTGGCTTACTGAGGTGGAAGCTTGCAGGTGTCCCCTGCAATGCATGACTGCTACCTTTTGGGGTTTCCATACTGCCTCTAATAATTGCAGAATTTCTTGTTGATATTTTATGTCCTTTCCCCCGGAATTTAACAGGGCTTTTTCTTTATATAATGCTCCGTGCACTTGGAGGGTTAGAAAGGCATATCGAGAGTCAGGATAAATGTTCACAGTCTTACCTTCACGGAGTTCTAGAGCCCGGGTTAAAGCAATGAGCTCTGCCTTCTGGGCTGAAGTGCCGTGAGGCAACGGTTTGTCTTCAATAACATCATCCAAGGTCACCACCGCACATCCTGCGCATCTTTCTCCTTGCGGATTGATGAAGCTGCTCCCGTCCACGTATAACTCCCAGTCCACTGATGCCCATGGCTGGTCTCGAAGATCGGGCCTGCTAGAATAGACTGAGTCCAACACTTCCACACAGTCATGTTCGACAGGGCTGTCTGATGCTGGGAGTAAGGTGGCAGGATTCGGAGTGTTACAGACGTCAGTGGTTATGTGGGGGTTTTCACATAACAAGCTTTGGTACTTGGTTAATCTAGCATTTGTTAACCAATCATGTCCTTTGGTATTCATTAAAGTTACCACTGCATGGGGGGGGCCTTTATACTTAAGTTTTGCCCAAGGGTTAGCTTGTCTGCTTCTTGTGCTAACAGGGCTGTAGCTGCCAGGGCTCTCAGACATGGAGGCCAGCCTTTTGAAACTCCGTCTAGCTGTTTTGAGAGGTACGCCACTGGTCTTGGCCAGGGCCCCACAGTTTGGGTTAAAACTCTGACTGCCATTTTTTGTCTTTCTGACACATAGAGTGTAAAGGGCTTTGTCAAATCTGGTAGTCCTAAGGCTGGGGCTGACATAAGTTTTTCCTTTAACTTGCAAAAGGCTTGCTGTTGCAGAGGTCCCCATTCAGAAGGCTCCTGGTCGCCCCCCTTTGTAACCCCATACAATGGTTTGGCTAGCACCGCAAAGTTTGGAATCCATAATCTGCAAAATCCCACGGCTCCTAGAAATACCCTTACTTGCCTTCTGGTTTTAGCGGGAGACTTGCTTAGTAAGCTGAGAGCCACCATTTCCTTTACAAAACAGGGCTCTTTGCAGGCTGAAGTTACAGGCAACAGGAGTTATCATGGCCCTTACAGTCCCACGAGAAGAAGAATGGAGACTTTTTCTGAGCCAGGTCAGGAGATAAAACTGGCTCTAGCTAAGAGTGTGGGCAGAGGACAATCCTCCGGGCTGGCCACTGCAGTAGGCAGTAGCTTAGGTTCCGGTAAGCTGCAGGTGACCTGCTTTCTTCCTGACCCCAGGCTGCGCTCCCCTTTCCGGATAGTGAATCCCAGGTAGCGTACCTGCTGTCTGCAGATCTGAGCTTTCTTCTTGGACACCTTATACCCACAGTCCTCCAGGTGTCAAAGCAGGGCATCCGTCCCTTTTGCACACCCATCTGCCATGGAGTCTCCTAGCAGAAGGTCGTCCACGTACTGGAGCAAGATGCAGCCTAGGTCTTTAGCAGGAAACTTCTGGAGGTCTCGAGCCAACGCCTCCCCGAAGATGGTGGGGGAGTTTTTAAACCCCTGGGGAAGCCGAGTCCAAGTGTACTAAGTAGTGACACCTGACCCCGGATCTTCCCACTGAAAGGCAAACAGCTTTTGGCTCTCAGGAGCTAGCCTGATGCTAAAGAAGGCATCCTTCAAGTCCAGACAAGTGAACCAGCTGTCCTCAGCCAGCAGCAATCCTAACAGTGTGTAAGGGTTAGGAGCTGTTGGGTGCAGAGTCACTGTAGCTTGGTTAACCAAGCGTAAGTCCTGTACAGGTCGATAGTCCTTGGTCCCTGGCTTGGGGACAGGTAGGAGGGGGGTGTTCCATGGATACTGGCAAGGAACTATAATTCCAAAATCTTTCAAGCGTTTAAGGTGAACCTGTATTCCTTCAAGAGCTTCTCTGGGAACCAGATACTGCTTTTGTCTAATTGGCTGGGCCCCAGGCTTAATTTCTATGAGTACAGGGGCTTGACTGATCGCCAGCCCGGAGGATTGTCCTCTGCCCACACTCTTAGCTAGAGCCGGTTTTATCTCCTGACCTGGCTCAGTTAGAAAAAGTCTCCATTCTTCTTCTCGGCGGACTGTAAGGACCATGGTAACTCCTGTTCCTGGTAACTTCAGCCTGTAAGGAGCCCTGTTTTGTAAAGGGTGGCTCTCAGCTTACTAAGCAAGTCTCTCCCTAACAAAGGCAAAGGGCAGTCAGGCATTTACAGAAATTGATGAGTCACTTTGTGTCCTCCCACCGAGCAGGTCCACGGTAGGCAGAAAACCTGCTTGGCGGAGACTCCCGTTGCTCCGATTATATCAATGGTTTTCTTAGATAAGGGGGTCACTGGGGTGGTTACTACTGAGTGGCACCGGTATCGACCAAAAACTTAATGTCCTTGCCCCCTATTGTCATCCTGACCATGGGCTCCTTGGGGGCATTTGAGCCCAGTCTCCTTCAGTCTAGCAGCCCTTCGGCCAGATTGCACAAAGTCCCTTGGTCTTTATCTGTGGTCTTTTGCTCCGCATCACCTTGCTTCTCCTTCAGTTGTGGACACTTATCTTTCCAAGGTCCTATTTCTTTACAGTAGGCACATTGGTTACGCTGCAGACGCGAGCAATTGGACTGGGCATTCCTCCCGGAACCCCCCTTTCCCTGCCCTTTGTGGGGGATCCCTCTAATTGCTGCAGTCAGCAAATTAGCGTTCTGTCTGGCCTGGCATTCGCCTTCCTTACAGAGGAGACGTTACAGCAGACCAATGCACCAAAAGTGGAAGTCGCAGCAGAGAGTTTAATAATTGTAGGGCAGCCAAATGAGGAGTTGGGAGGAAACCTCAAATCTGCCTCCCCGAGAGGTTTGGGGATGGGGTTTTTAAGGGATCTGGCTGTGTGAAGGGCTAAAGTGTGGGGATTGATGATTGGTTGAAAAGTAAGGGGTCAAGTCATGGGACAGGGAGAGGAAGAAACTGCATTCCTGTGTTTAGTCGGTTCCCTGGCGGGGATCTTCAGACCCACTGGCGTCAGCCATCCTGCTGGAATTCAGGATCTGGAAAACACCTTAAGCAATTCTTGGGTTAGAAGATCCAGTGTCAGAGATTCTGCCTATAGGAGCAATGGGGGAGCAGGTGGTCGGCACACTACAGGACTCTTGGTTAGTTAGAGCTTCAGGGAAGTGGGTCAAAGGGCACCACTGCACCCTGCTCAATGTCTAACTGTAATTCTCCCTAAACTCTGGCTTGAAATTCTCACTAACCCTGCGAGGGTGGTTTCAGAGCCATCGGGGCAAGGGAATTCTTGCTCAGCTGGCTTTACAGCATTCTTGCTAACACAGCAAAGGTGGGGGATGAGAAACTCTGTCAGATAGTAAGAATGATCAGATGTCAAGAGTTGGGGGATTCTTGCTAAACTGACTTATCAAGACTCTTTGCAAAGACTGGGCTGGGCAGGACAGAATGAGGGCCAAGGTCAATGCCTAGTGAAAACGAGGGCTCAGAACGGCCTGACTAAAGTTTGGTCAAGGAGGTAGTCTTATCACTCTCCGCTACTCAGCGCATTCTCGTCTCGTTCAGAGTGAAATCCACTGACACAGAACCCATTAAGAACCTCCACGTTCTGCCCCCTTGCCTAGGATCTCCTACTGTTCTCTCCCTTTTCTTTCTGCTTCAGCAACAGTGTCCTTATTGTTCCTTCAACAAGCCAGGCATGCTCCCACCTCAGGGTATTCGAATCCGCTTTTCATTCTGCCAGAAAGACTTCCCACAGATACTTAAATTGGCCCATCCCTCATCTTCTGCAGGTCTTTCTTCAAATGTCACCCTCTCAATGAAATGTTTCTTAACCACTTTGTGTAAAATTGCAAACTCTCCCACCCTCCATGTTCCTGTTCCCTTTTTAAATTCTTGTTTGCACTTACAGGGAAGTTTAAATTTTTCCCCTGAAGTTTCGATAATTTGAGTCTATAAAACAAAATGATACATAGCTGAATAGGAAAAAAAGGCATACAAATTTTATTAAAGTTCATACAAGCACAGGAGTGATACAACATACAAAAACTCAAAGAAAGGCAAGGTAGTTGATATTTTTATACCATCTTGAAGTTACAGGAAGAACAGGGGCTTGGATCACGGCTAAGGCGGGTTATAGGAGGGAGAGAAGAGGAAAGACCTGAAGAAAAGGTAGACTCATTATGCAAATGAAGCTGCACAGGTAGCAGCCTAAGAGCAAATGGTAGCCCGTGGTTAAAGTTTGCACCAGATTTTCAAAGGTGTCAGACTCTCAGTTAGTCTTTCTCAGATCTGGACGAGGGGAGAGCCTCAGAGAAAGCCTATTCACATCTGTTGTTGACTGCACTTCATTTCCTCAACAGATGCAAGTCTCCTCTACAAAAGACAGCTTTTCAGGACTATTCCTGTCTGCAAGCTCTCTGAATAGCCATCTCAAGATATGTCAGGGAAGTATGTTTTGGAGTGAATTATTTTGGTTGCCTTCACACTCATCTCTATCTCAAAACGTATTTATTCCTCTTATTATCTTTCCTCTCTCTCTTCCAGTAAAATTCAAGCTGCATTTGTGCACAGGTTTTGCCAGTTTTGCCCACTGGTGTATTTCCAGAATCTGGCACAATGCTAGGCACAGGATAAGTGTTCAACATAATTTTTGTTGTTGCTGAATGAATCAATAATGAAATCCTATACAGTAATGAAAAGGAATGAACTTTGCATGTATCAAGGTAGACTAATCTAAAAGTGTTTGTGTTGAACACATATATACACATGATACATATATGCATGTATATACACATGATATATATACATATATACACATATAGGCATATACACATATATATGCAGAAATCTTTATATAAAGGGTATCTGCTATATACATACATATTGTATATTGTATAAAAGTTGAATACAATGTACAATTGAAACTATACAATTGTATATTGTATGTATATAGCAGATTACCTTTATATACATACATATTGTATATTGTATGTATATAGCAGGTTGTCTTTTTATAAAGATTTAAAATGTTGCAAAAGTAAACAATGTTTAGGGACACATGCATGTGGAGTAATTATCAAACAAAACAAAGGAATGCTGAAAGCAACTCAGGAAAATGACTTGGGAGCACTGTGAACAAGGCTTCCAAATTTTGGGTAAATTTCTCTTTGGTAACCCAAGTGTTGGGTATGTGGGTATTTGTTTTATTATTATTAAACCATGGGCCTCGCACAGTGGCTCATGCCTCTAATCCCAGCACTTTGGGAGGCTGAGGTGGGCAGATCACGAGGTCAAGAGATCAAGACCATCCTGATCAACATGGTGAAACCCCATCTCTACTAAAAATACAAAAATTAGCTGGGCATGGTGGTACGTGCCTGTAGTCCCAGCTACTCAGGAGGCTGAGGCAGGAGACTGCTTGAACCTAGGAGGTAGAGGTTGCAGTGAGCCAAGGTCGCGCCACTGTACTCCAGCCTGGCGACAGAGTGAGACTCCATCTCAAAATAAATAAATAAATAAATAAATAAAAACAAAAATCTGTGCCTATGAATACATTATCTCCTGTGTATGGTACACATTAAAAGAATTTAAAATAACATAACTATCTTGTGGTTTTGATTTGCATTTCTCTGATGATTAGTAATGTTGAACATTTTTCATATACCTGTTGGCCATTTGAATGTCTTTTTGAGAAATGTCTATTCAGGTCCTTTGCCTATTTTTTTTTTTTTTTTTTTTTTTGAGGCAGGGTCTCACTCTGTCACCCTGGCTGGAGTGCAGTGGTGCTATTTTTGCTCACTGCAGCCTCAACCTCTGGGTTCAAGCAATCCTCTGCGCTCAGCCTCCTGAGTAGCTGGGACTACAGGCCTGCACTGGCATGCCTGGCTAATTTCGTTTATTTTTTGTAAAGACAAGGTCTCACTATGTTGCTGAGGCTGCTCTGGAACCCCTGGGCACGAGTGATCCATCCACTTCCGCCTCCCAAAGTGCCGGGATTACAGGCATGAGTCATTGTGCCCAGCCCTTTGCCCATTTTTAATGGGACTCTTTGTATACTGTTGTGGTTTTTTTTGTTTTGTTTTTTCTTTGAGATGGCATCTCGCTCTGTCACCCAGGCTGGAGTGCAGTGGCATGATCTGAGCTCACTGCAACCTCCACCTCCCAGGTTCAAGGAATTCTCCTGCTTCAGCCTCCCAAGTAGCTGGGGTTTCAGGCATGCACCACCACGCCTGGCTATTTTTGCATTTTTAGTAGAGACGGGGTTTCGCCACATTGGCCTGGCTGGTCACAAACCTGTTATTTGAATTCTTTGTATATACTGGGTATTAGTCCTTTGTTGGATGAGTAATTTATAAATATTTTCTCTCAAGTTGTTGCTTCACTCTGTTGTTTCTTTTGCTGTGCAGACACTTTTTAGATTAATATAGTTGTTTATTTTTCTTTTTGTTGCCTGTGCTTTTGAGGTCTTAGCCACAGACCTCAAAAGCACAGGCAAGAAAAAGAAAAATCTTTGCCTAGATCAATGTCCTGAAGAGTTGTCCCGATGTTTCCTTCTATCAGTTTTATAGTTTGGAGTCTTTAAATCTTTAATCTATCTGGAGTTGACTTTTATATATGTTGAGAGAGAAGGGGTCCAAGTTCATTCTTCTGCATATTATTATCCAGTTTTCCCCAGAACCATTTATTAAAGACGTAGTCCTTTCCTCATTGTGTGTTCTTGGCACCTTTGTTGAAAATCAGTTGGCTGTAAATGGGTGCACTGATTTCTGGGTTCTCTTATTCTGTTCCATGGGGGGGTGTGTGTGTCTATTTTTATACAAATATCATGCTCTTTTGGTTACTAACACTTTCTAATTAGATATAAGCTCACTCCAGTTAGAATGATTATTATTATAAAGACAAAAAAATGACAGATGCCAGTGAGGATTTGGGGAAAAGGGAACTCTTATACACTATTGGTGGGAATGTAAATTAGTACAGCCACTATGGAAAACAGTGTGGAGGTTTCTCAAAAAACTAAAAATGGAACTACCATACAATCCAGCAACCCTACTACTGGTAAAGGGAGAGAAATCAGTATATGAAAAGGATACCTGCACTCACGTTTGTCACTGCACTATTTGCAGTAGCCAAGATATAGACTCAACCTACCAGCAATAGATGAATGGGTAAAGAAAATGTCATACATAGACACAATGGAATACTATTCTGCCATAAAAATGAATGAAATAATGTATTCACAGCAACATGGATGGAGCCGAAGGTCATTATGTTAAGTGAAATAAGCCAGGCACAGAAAGACAAGTACTGCATGTTCTCACTTATATTCGGGAGTTAAAACACTTGATCTCATGGACATAGACAACAGGAGGATAGATACCAAAGGCCAGGAAGGCCAGAAAGGAAGGGGAATGAAGAGAGGTTGGTTATGGGTACAAACATACAGTTAGATGGAAGAAATAATTTCTAATATTTAATAGCAGACTAGGGTGACTATACTTGGCAATAATATTGTGTATATTTCAAAGTAAATCGAAGAGAGGGCTTGAAATGATACCAACGCATAAAAATGATAAATGCTTAAGGTGATGGATACCCCAAATACTGTGACTTGATGATCATTACAGTCTATGCACGTAACAAGCACTCACATGGACCCTATACATTATGTAAATTATTTTGTATCAACAGAAAAGTAATCACAACCAGCGGTGGGAGCTACAGCACACTGATCCTCCTAAATGAATCTAATTTCCGGTTTTGTTTTTTCAAACTACTCCGCTTGCTTAACAAGTGCGCGGGCTGTAGGCAGCACGGCCAGCAGCTGGAGACCTCCTGCCTCGTGTGCGGCGTGCGTACTCCCTCGCACTGCAGCCCCTCCGCGCACTGTCGCCTTTGAGAGCTCTCGTTGGCGGAGGCGGTTCCTCTCCCGGAGTTCGCAGCGCGCACCGCGGCGTCCCCTGGGAAGTGTAGTCGGCGTGGGGCCGGAGGCATGCCGGGAGTGGTAGTTCTCCCGCGGTTGGCGGGGTTTCGGGGACAGCTCGCGGCCTTTCGGGGGTTCTCCTGGCTTGGGCCATCCAGGCTTGGCTAGGATTGCCGGCCTGGGGTTGAGGCGCTCGCAGTGGTCTCTTCCGGGCCGGGGTGGATCCGGGCCTCTCCAGCGAGTGGGCGGCGTGCAGCCTCGTCTGGGCTTCTGGGACCAGCCCTACGCGGCTCGGGCCCCTTGGCCACTGGGTCCCGGGGCGCCGTCCGCGAGCGGCCTGGACTGCCGGAGACCCGCGGGAGGGAGCGCCTCGCCAGGTGAGCTGGGTGCGCCGGGCCGCTGGGGTGGGGATGCCAGCCTTTTGTCGTTGTTCATTCTGCGATTTTCTTCTGTGCATTTTCTTCTGAGTAACGGAAATAATAAAAGCAATAGCTGATGCCCGCCGAGAGCGCTCGGGTGCCAGGCACCAGACTAGCGCATCGCCCGAACGAACTCCGCGCATCCCTGCTAACAGATAGGGTGGCGGTACGCTGTTCCCGCTCTGTCAGGAGGAGACCGAGGCAGAGTGGCGAGGTCATTGCCCCAGATGTAACTGGGGCCTGGGGCTAGGATCAGGATTGCCTTCCCGGCCCTTATGACTTTGGGCAGGTCACGACCTCCTGGTTTTCAGTCTCCGTAACATCTGTAAATGTGAAGATTGAAAATACTGCGTGGAAAACACTCACCGCTTCCTGGGAGGAGGTGCGCTTCGTCGCGTAACCGAGGCCTTGTGTGGCAGCTTCCCCTGGGCTGGTCGAGGCACCCGCTGGAACTGGCCTGGCAGAGCCCCAGGTTGGCTCCATGCTAGGGGGCACCCTGAGTCGCCGCTGCAGATCGCGGGCCTGGAGGCCCTCACACTTGCCCGGCTGCCCCAGGCAGCCTCTTCCCTTGCTTTCTGTGGGGCGGGCACGGTTTCCACCTCTCCCACCTGGGGTTGGTGTTTGGGCAGCGACGGCTGTTTCTGGTTGTGGGTGCCATTAGAGGCGGCACCTGTGGAGTATTAGGAGGGACAGCAAAGCTCTGGCTTTGGGTGGGGACAGTGCCTTAATCCTGTTACCTTGGGTAAAGTGTGGTAAGGCCCGACGAAGATCTAGTAAAGAGGCTGGGAAAGCTGAGTGGTTGGATTATGCTCACAGTTTCTTGGGGAGAACACAGCACTCCACGGAAGGACCACTCAGGGCGAGCAGTGGGGTCTGTCACCAGGGTAGGGATGCGGGGAAGCCTCTTTATCGTGGCTACCATAGGGAGGAAAGGGTGAGGCAGGGCAGGCAGGATGAGGATCAGCTAGCTAGGCTGGGAAGTGGCGCCCCAGGAGACTGGATATTCATTGCGACTTTTAGGTGTGCAGTTCAAAGCTAGCGAAGGACTCCAGACATCCATGGGGGAGTCACGGTTTGCCTAGAGGTAGCTGAGAGGCCCGAAGGTGGAAGTTAAAGAGTCCAAGTGCAGAAATAGAAGTAGGGTTGGCACATTGCCCTAGTAAACTAGTAAACACTCTTCTTGCTTTACATCATTACGGGGGGTGGCTTTTTTGAGACCTGATGGACATTATGGGCGGTTGTAACTTCCTCTCTCCAAGCCATCTCCTGACGCCAGGGTTCCTCTTGACACCTTTTTCCTCTGCAGACCCACCGTGTCCACACTCTGCTCTCCCTGGGCAGGAAGACTGAGGAGGAAGGGATGGCTGTGGATCTGCTGTCTGCTCAGGTGAGAGTGAGTGAAGGTTGTCTTTTTCATCAGTTGGCTTCTGGATTCAGAGATGGTAGACATGTTTCCAGACTTTGTCCAGGTACTTTTTGGTCCAACCAAAACGATGAAGAATCCGGAACCTCAAAAGTTTTTCCCAGTGTCTTGGGCTTAGCAAGGGGCTGCTGAGGAATGTGCCTCTTTTGTCCCGAGACTACTCTTAATTCACCCCGCTCACTCTGTGATCCACATTTGAGGCAGTTCTGAGCATATGCTTCCCACTACACTGGTGCTGGGTGGGGAGAATGGGGCATGAAGCAGTCTCTGTCTTCATAGAGGATATAGTCACACTTGGGGCTAAGATGTGGAAGGGCCGGAAGACAGCCTCCACAAGCATTTATTGAGCCCTATGTACAGGATCCTGTGCAGCACACGGGATGGAAAGAGGAAAGCTGTCATTTCCATCTTCTGGGAGTTCGTGGTATCGATCTTAGGAAACATGATTAAATGTTCAGGGGAAATATCCCAGAAGTGGGGGCATTCTGAGTTTATACTGGAGGCCAGGACTGATATTGGTGCTTAGAGAAGACTAAGGGCATCCCAGAAGGAGTTCAGCGTGGTTTGGGCTTTGAAGCCCAGAAGGAGGCAGGCCTGGGGCCTTCCCCTCCCAGTGCAGCGGGGATGTTAAGCTGTCCAAATGTCCATCTCACCTGTCTGATTGATTCCTCTATTTCCTTCTCTGATTCTTTTCTTTTTTCTCTGCTAGTTTAGCCTCTCTACCTGGGCTCTTTTTTCTTGTTCTTTCCCCATTTAAGATCCATTTTCATTACTTTAACCCTCAGCGTTCTGAGTATCTTCCCCAAATCTGTCCTCAGGCCTGACCTTTTTCCTAGCATTCCTGTCTGTCATTCCGACGTGGAAGTCCCATCTTTCCTTCAACACCAGCTCCCTTTCCTCTAGTCCCCTCCCTTCTGTGCATTTTTTCTGCCATACTCCAAAGCCTATTCTTCATTGACTCCTTTTCCAATAGCCCATAGGCTGGAAATGTGGACTCAGGAGCTTGACTTCATGGCTTCAAATCCAAGCTAGGGATGTAGCCCTGAGCAAGTTATTTTATCTCTCTGTACCCCATTTCCTCAATTTTGGTGGGGTTAATAATATACATACATGACTGAGTTGCTATGAGCATTAGTAACAGTAGTAGCTGGGCACAGTAGCTCACGCCTATAATCCCAGCACTTTTGGGAGGCCAAGACAGAAGGATTGCTTGAGCCCAGAAGTTTGAGACCAACCTGAGCAACATAGTGAGGCCTTGTCACTATACAAAATTAAAAATAAAGTAGCTGGGTGCAGCAGCACCTATAGTCCCAGATACTAAGAAGGCTGAGGTAGGAGGATCACTTGAGCCCAGGAATTCGAGGCTGCAAGTGAGCTATGATTGTGCCACTGCACTCCAGCCTGGGCACGAGAGTGAGACCTTGTCTCAAAAAGAACCCCAAAAAGTAGTAATTACAAGCATATTTGCTGTGAGCCAGGTTCTATGTATTACTATGTATAAAAATATCTATTCCTTTCATATAGTAAGTCATTTAATCCTTACAAGAGGACTGTTAATATCTGGATTGTACAGATGAGGAGACAGGCACAGAGAAGCAAGTAACTTGATCAAGGTCACACAGCTGGCTTTTGATCCCAACAAGACAGTCTATACTGTTAGCATCATGCTCTGAAAAAGTACATTTAAAATGCTGAGAGAAGTGCATGGCACGTATTAAGACCTCCATAAATTCCAGCTGTTACTATGATCAGTATCAGTAACAGCAGCAGCAGCACTATTTTAGGACCTGCCAGATTTGGTGTGCTTCGCCTCACTAGGCCTGATTCCTTAATTAGAAGCAGATGGATATTTCAGGAAACCAAGACGTAAAGACCAGCAAAATGCAGTGCACAGGAATATCCAGCTATTACCTGGGCTATCTGCTGCCCAAAGGTAGGGTTGTTCGCTATCTGAGCTCGCCTACATCCACAGCAGGAGAGACTTACTTCATTTTAGCCAAGGGCAGAGGTAGGTTTGTTTGCAACTCAGAGCCAGTTTTTGTTGTTGTTGTTTTTGGAAGGGGTGACAGCTGATTCAATATCTAATCCTTTTGTGGGTTTTTGTTGTTGTTGTTGTTGCTTTTTTTTAGAGACAGAGTTTTGCTCTGTCGCCCAGGCTGGAGTACAGTGGTGCGATCTCGGCTCACTGCAGGCTGGAAGGAACTCTTGGGCTCCTGCGATCCTCCTGCCTTGGCTTCCCAAAGTGCTGGATTATAGGTGTGAGCAACTGTGCCCGGCCAATATGTAACCCCCCTTTTTTTTTGGAGACAGAGTCTTGCTCAGTCGCCCAGGCTGGAGTGCAGTGGCGCCATCTCGGTTCACTGCAAGCTCCGCCTCCCGGGTTCACGCCATTCTCCTGCCTCAGCCTCCCGAGTAGCTGGGACTACAGGCGCCCACCACCACACTGGCTAATTTTTTTTTTTTTTGTAGAGACGGGGTTTCACCATGTTAGCCAGGATGGTCTCCATCTCCTGACCTCGTGATCCACCTGCCTTGGCCTCCCAAAGTGCTGGGATTACAGGTGTGAGCCACCGCGCCCGGCCTATGTAACCCTTTTGATTAAGTCTCCTGGGGACCCAGAGTGTCCCAATCACAGGTCTCATTACCCCATTTAAGTCAGTGCAATGGTGATATCCAATATCACATTCTGTCCTCATTAAGGGTACCGAGGGAGAAATTTCTCTCTACTTGTTAGGAAAACTGCAAACAAGCATATTTTTTGGAAAAAAATAGGTTCTTTGCAATATTACATATTTCCATGTAATATATAATTTATTGTCTGGGGAAAAGGCACATGGAATTTGGTATTGATTGCTTAATAGTCATAATTTGTTAATTACATATTTTTCTGCAGTAAATAAGTACTTTTTTGATATTGTCAGTATTTTTAAAAAGAATAATCTTTATTTTTTTTACAACAATTTTAGACGAGAGAATAATTACACAGTTATCATACCCTGCACCCAGCTTCCCGTTATTCCCTACATTAATTTGGTATATTTGTTACAATTAACGAGCCACCATTGGTATGTTATTATTAACTGAAGTCCATGCTTTATTCACATTTCCTTAGTTTTTACCTGCTGTCCTTTTTGTGTGCCAGGGCCCCCCAGGATTCCACATGACATTCAGTTTCACATCTTCTTAGGCTGCTGTGGCTTTGGGGCTTTCTCAGACTTTCCTTGTATGTAATGATCATAATAGTTTTGAGGAGTACTGGGTTAGGTTGTTTTTTGTTTTTGTTTTTGTTTTTTTGTTTTTTTTGAGGTGGAGTCTCACTCTGTCACCCAGGCTGGAGTGCAATGATGCGATCTTGGCTCACTGCAACCTCTGCCTCCTGGGTTCAAGTGATTCTCCTGCCTCAGCCTCCAAGTAGCTGGGATTACAGACATGTGCCATCACGCCCTGCTAATTTTTGAATTTTTGATAAAAACGGGGTTTCACCATGTTGGCTGGGCTGGTCTCGAACTCTTGGCCTCAAGTGATCCGCCTGCCTGGCCTCCCTAAATGTTGGGATTACAGGCAGGAGCCCCCATGCCCGGCCCTGATTAGGTATTCTGTAGAATGCCCCTCCATTGTGATTTGCGTGATGTTTTTTCTCATTATTAGCCTGGGGTTGGGTTTTGGGGAGGAAGGTCACAGAGATGAAGCGTCAGTCTGATCACAGCATACTACAATTGCATACTAATAACATGACATCCCTGTTGCTGTTCACCTTCATCACCTGACTGAGGCACTGTTTGTCAAGTCTCTCCACTCTACAGTTACTTTCTTTTTCTGCCTTCCCATACTGTATTCCTTCGAAAGACGACACTGTGTAGCCCACACTTACGGCCTGGCAAGACAGGCACCACTCCTAGAGGTGAAGAATCAACATACATTATTTGGAAATCTGTATGGAGGATTGTTGCTTCTCTCCATTTATTTATTTATTCAAACATTCATTTATATCAGTATGGCAACCATGGATCTTTCTGCTGTCTGTACATATCAATTATGCTTTAAAAACTTTTTTTTAGTGGTTACCCTATAGTTTTCAATATAAATTTACAACTAATCGAAGTCCACCTTCAAATAACATACTGCACCATGGGTAGTGGAGGTGTCTTATAACAGAGTATTCCCCTCTTCCTTACGGCATTGCTGCCATTCATTTCACTCATCCATATGCTATCACCACCCAATACACTGTTACTATTATTAATTTAAGCAAATAGTTATCTTCTAAATCAAGAGTAAGAAAAATGTTATCATCATTTGTTCCTTCTCTATCTTCCCTCCTGTCTTCAGGTAGATTCAAGTTTCTGACCTATTTTATTTTCCTTCCCCATGAAGAACTTCTTTTACTATTACTTGCAAGGCAGGACTGCTGGTAATGAATTCCCTCAGTTTTTGTTTGTCTGAGAGAGCTTTACTTCTCATCCTTTTTGAAGGATAATTTCCCTGGATATTGAATTCTACATTGGTGATTTTTTCCCTCAACAATTTAAATATTTTGTTTCACTCTCTTCTTGTTTACATGTTGCTAATGGGAAAATCCACTGTCATTCTTATCCTTGTTCTCTATAGGTAAGATCTTTTTCCCTGTCTTCTTTCAAGATTTTCCCTTTGACTTTGGTGTTCTGCAGTTTTCATATAATATGCCTAGGTGTAGATATTTTGGTAGTCATCCTGCTTGGCCTTCTCTGACTTTTCTGGATTTGAGGTTTGAGATGTGCTGCTAATTTTGGAAAATTCTCAGCCATTATTACTTTGGATATTCACTCTGCTCTGTTCTCTCTTTCTTCTCCTTATGGCATCCCAATTACATTGTAATTTTAAATGATCAAGTAGAATTGTATTTTTAACATGGAAGGATATACATGCTATATAGTAAGAAGATTTGGAATATGAAATGACAGTAATCATTTATCATTTCTCACAGTTTCTCTGGGTTAGGAATGCAGGTGTGTGAGAGAAACAGCTTACCACACAAAGTCGGGTGTCTCAGCTGAGAGATTTAAAGACTAAAGGCTATAGAATCGTTTGAAGCCTCAGTCGTTCACATGTCAGGTAGTTGATGCTTGCTGTTGGCTCATTGCTGTGATCACAGATAGGGCTATTGGATGGAGCATCTACCCATAATCTCTCCTTGTGACTTGGGCTTACAACATGGCGACTAGGCTCCAAAAGTGAGCATCCAGTGAGCCAGGTGAAAGGTGTATTATTTTACTACTTTTTCTTGGAAGTTACATGCATCATTTCCATTGAATTCCACTGGACAGCTTCAAAGGAAGGAAACATAGAACTCACTTCTTGGTGGGAGAAATGTCAGTGTCACATTATACAAAGAGCACGTAAGATGAGAGAGAAATTGATGTGGTCATCTTGGGAAAGTATAATCTTCCACATTTGTCAGAATTAAAATATGTATAGCCTGTAATCCCAGCACTTTGGGAGGCCAAGGCAGGCGGATCACCCTGAGGTCAGGAATTCAAGACCAGCCTGGCCAACATGGCAAAACTCCGTCTCTACTAAAAATACAAAAATTAGCTGGGTGTGGTGGCGCACGCCTGTAATCCCAGCTACTTGGGAGGCTGAGGCAGGAGAATCGCTTGAACCTGGGAGGCAGAGGTTGCTGTGAGCCAAGATGGCGCCACTGCACTCCAGCTGGCGACAGAGTGAGACTCTGTCTCAAAAAAAAAAGAAGAAGAAGAATGAGGTTTGAGGCTGGACATAGTGGCTCACGCCTGTAATTTCAGCTCTTTGGGAAGCTAAGGTGGAGGAATGGCTTAAGGCCAGGAGTTCAAGACCAGCCTGGGCAACATAGCAAGACCCTGGCTCTACAGAAAAACAAGAGAATTATCTGGGCATGATGGTGCACATCTATAGTCCCAGCTACTCGGGAGGCTCAGGTGGGAAGATCACTTGAGCCCAGGAGTTCAAGGCTGTAGTGAGCTATGATTTATTGCACTACTGCACTCCAGCCTAGGCAACAGAGTGAGACCCTGTCTGTTTAAAAAAAAAGATTTCTCTATGTGGATGTGATAAAGATCCATGAAATGCTAGTAAAGCAGGATTGAGAATTTTCCCATTAAAAAAGGATACATGTGTAAAGCACTGCTAGTTACCTGTAGAATGGGGCCGCTAATTGGAGTTAGGAGAGAATCCCTAACATTGCACTGCGTGTTCTTTTGCATCCTTTCTATTTTTTAGCACGCGTCTGTTTTCATATTGTTTAACGAATAGTCAAAAGAACACGGTGTGTGTAATTGGATCTAAAGTCTGGAATACATTTCTAAAAGAGGAACAAAAGTTGTCTTGAGTAATAGGATTTAGTATGATTTACATTGTGTTTTTGTTTTCAATTTAGACATTTTTTTCTGAAGTTTAATTTGTTTAATTTTAGTCTCTGATTATGCTTAATTTGTATACTTTTTAAAAAGCGAATGAAATTTTAAAAGAAAAAGAATGCTTTTTTTTTTTTTTTCCTGGAAGTATTCTAAGGCCTAGGGGAACGGGATTGGTGGTAAAGACGGAAGTTGGGTTTGCTGTGAGTGTCCTGTTAACAGCAACACGGAGCCTGTATTAGTGTGCCAGGGCACCATAGCAAAATACCAGAGACGAGGTGGCCTCAACCATGGAAATGTGTGTTCTTGCAGTTCTGGTGGCCAAAAGTCCAAGATCAAGGTGTGGGCAAGTCTGGCTTCTCCTGAGGCCTCCTTGGCTGCTTGATGGCTGCCTTCTCGCTGCCTCCTGCCACATGGCCTCTCCTGCGCATGAGCGTGTCCGTGTCCTGATCTCCCCTTCTTAGAAGCACATGCCGGTATTAGATTAGGATCCAGCCTAAAGGCCTCATTTTAACTTAATTACCTCTTTAAAGATCTTGTTTCCAAATATTATTACATTCTGAGGCATAGGGGTGGAAGCCAAAAATAAAATTAGAAGGCCCCCTGCAGCTGTCTGAATGGACTTCCTCCTTGGCCCTTGAAATTTAACCTGAAAGACTGGTTCAGGCCGTGACAGGAAGTAGGGGTTGGACAAGCCTCATTGTACCCTCCAGCATTAATATCTACACAAACCTTAAATCTGATAAGAAACATTTACAGTCTATTCTCTCTAAAGCCTGCTACTTGGAGGTTTCATCTGCCTGACAAAACCTAGGTCTCCACAACCCGTTATCATGACCCAGACATTCCTTTCTACTGATGATAATTCTTTCAACCAACTGCCAGGCAGAATATGTTTACCAAAAATACAGAAAGTAGCAGGGCATTGTGGCACGTGCCTATAATCCCAGCTACTCAGGAGGCTGAGGCAGGAGAATCACTTGAACCTGGGAGGCAGAGGTTGCAGTGAGCCCAGACTGGCCACTGCACTCCAGCCTGGGCGACAGAGCAAGACTCCATCTCAAAAAAAAAAAAAAAAAAGAAAGGCCGGGCACGGTGGCTCACGCCTGTAATCCCAGCACTTTGGGAGGCCGAGGCGGGTGGCTCACGAGATCAGGAGATCGAGACCATCCTGGCTAACATGGCGAAACCCCGTCTCTACTAAAAAATACAAAAAATTAGCCGGGCGCGGTGGCGGGCGCCTGTAGTCCCAGCTACTCGGGAGGCTGAGGCAGGAGAATGGTGTGAACCCGGGAGGCGGAGCTTGCAGTGAGCCGAGATTGCGCCCCTGCACTCCAGCCTGGGCGACAGAGCAAGACTCTGTCTCAAAAACAAACAAACAAAAAAAACCAGATATTTACTTTTCTAGCTTTAATTATAGATAAGGTACAGGCTTGTGACCCAAGCTTGACCTACTTCAGACTTTCAGTCAGGAGCTAGAGCTACGAGGAAACAGGAAGAGAACAAAGGTCTCCAACCCCCAGTTTTGCAGACCGGTACCAGCTCCTGGTCTATTAGGAACCAGGCGGTACAGCAGGAAGTGAACAGCAGGTGAGCGAGCATTACCACCTGAGCTCTGCCGCCTGTCAGATCGGCAGCGGCATTAGATTTCATAGGAACATGAACCCTATTGTGAACTGCGCACGTGAGGGGCCCAGGTTGTGTGCTCCTTATGAGAATCTAATGCCTGTGATCTGAGATGGAACAGTTTTATCCTGAGACCATTCCCCCAACCCTCCTGTCTGTGGAAGAACTGTCTTCCACGAAACCTGTCCCTGGTGCCAAAAGGCTTGGGGGCCTCTGATATCGAGTACAGTCTGGTAATTTGTGGCAACATCAGTAACATTGAGTTTGTAGGGGAAGGAGGAGTGGCACAGCAAAAGCAGTAGCTGTCTTGTGCTGGTGAGGCTGTACCATCTACTTTTCCATGACAACAGTATTCTCACAAGTCTGGTTTCCTAGTGTGATCCTGGCTGTGGTCCGGAATGTTGCTGCCCTAGTTTCTGTTTTATTTTCCAAGCCTACTTCTGTGACTATCAGTTTCCCTGGAGCTACCTGGTCTCTTGTGTAAATGAGCCAAAGTCAGTTTCTATTGCTGGAAACCTAAAACAAACTTCACATTTCTTATAATCTTCTTATAAAGCCACCTGCCACAACCCAGATTCTCATCTTGCATTTTAAAAATACAGCTTAGACAACAAGTGTTTCTAAGTGAGAACATTATAAGCATTTTGAGTGGAGTTGTCTTTCCTTATGCAGCACTCTCTCATCCATTTCCAGATGATTAGCAGCCTTGATCGCTCTTTTTTTTTTTTTTTTTTTTTTTTTGAGACAGAGTCTTGCTCTGTTGCCCAAGCTGGAGTGTAGTGGTGCGATCTCGGCTCACTGCAAGCTCCGCCTCTCAGGTTCACGCCATTCTCCTGCCTCAGCCTCCTGAGTAGCTGGGACTACAGGCGCCTGCCACCAAGCCTGGCTAATTTTTTTTTGTATTTTTAGTAGAGACGGCATTTCACTGTGTTACCCAGGATGGTCTTGATCTCCTGACCTCGTGATCTGCCTGCCTCAGCCTCCCAAAGTGCTGGGATTACAG